>NC_000003.12:91553419-91722495 GCF_000001405.40 Homo sapiens
AGAATTCTCAGTAGCTTCCTTGTGTGTGTGTATTCAACTCACAGAGTTGAACCTGCCTTTAGGCAGAGCAGATTGGAAACCCTCTTTTTGAGGAATTTGCAAGTGGAGAATTCTAGCCCTTTGACGCCAATGGTAGGAAAGGAAATATCTTCGTATAAAAACTGGACAGTATCATTCTCAGAAGCTACTTTGTGATGTGTGCGTTCAACTCACAGAGTTTAACCTTTCTTTTCATAGAGCAGTTTGGAAACACTCTGTTTGTGAAGTCTGCAAGTGGATATTTAAACGTCTTTGAGGCCTTCGTTGGAAACGGGATTTTTTCATATAAACCAGGACAGAAGAATTCTCAGAAACTTCTTGATTGTTATGTGTGCATTCAACTCACAGAGTTGAACCTTACTTTGGAAAGAGCAGTTTTCTAATACTCTTTTTGTAAAAGTTCCAAGTGAATACTTTGAGTGCTTTGAAGCCTACGGTTGACAACGAAATATCTTCATGTAAAAACTACAAAGAATCATTCGCAGAAACCACGTTGTGATCTCTGCATTCAACTCACAGAGTTCAACCTTTCTTCCTATAGAGCAGTTATGAAACAGTCTCTTTCTAGAATTTGCAAGGGTGTATTTAGAGGGCATTGAAGCCTACGGTAGAAAAGGAAATATCTTACCATAAAATCTAGTCAGAAGCATTCTCAGCAACTGAGTTGTGATGTTTGCATTCAACTCACAGAGTTCAACATTCCTTTTAATGGAGCGGTTTTGAAACACTCTTTTTGCAGAATCTGCAAGTGGATATTTGGACCTCTTTGAGGCCTTCGTTGGAAACGGGATTTCTTCATGTAATGCCAGACAGAAGAACTCTCAGTGAATTCTTTCTGTGTGTGTGTATTCAACTCACAGAGTTGAACGTTCCTTTAGACAGAGTAGATTGGAAACACTCTTTTTGTGGAATTTTCAGGTGGAGGTATCAAGCGCTTTGCGTCCCATGATAGAAAAGGAAATACCTTCGTATAATAATTAGACGGAATCATTCTCAGAAACTGCTTTGCAATGTGTGCCTTCAACTCACAGCGTTTAACCTTTCTTTTCATACAGTTGTTTCGAAACACACTTTTTGCAGAATCTGCAAGTGGATATTTGGACCTCTTTGAAGTCTTCGTTGGAAATGGGATTTCTTCATATAATGCTAGACAGAAGACTTCTCAGTAACTGCTTTTTCTGGTGTGTATTCAACTCTCAGAGTTGAACTTTCCTTTAGAAACAGCAGATTTGAAACTCTCTTTTTGTGGAATTTGCAAGTGCAGATTTCAAAGCTTTGAGGCCAGTGGTAGAAAAGGAAATATCTTCGTATGCAAACTAGACAGAATCATTCTCAGAAACTACTTTGGTACGTGTGTGTTCAACTCACAGTGTTTAACCTTTCTTTTCATAGAGCAGTTTGGAAACACTCAGTTTGTAAAGTCAGCAACTGGATATTTGGATGTATTTGAGGCCTTCGTTGGAAACGGGATTTCTTCTTATAATTTCTTGACAAAAGATTCTCAGTAACTTCTTTGGGTTGTGGGTATTCAAGTCACAGAGTTGAAGCTTCCTTTAGGCGGAGCAGATTGGAAACACTTTTTGTGGAATTTTCAGGGGGAGACTTCAAGCGCTTTGAAGTGAATGGTAGGAAAGGAAATATCTTCGTATAAAAACTAGACGGAGTCATTCTCAGAAACTACTTTGTGATGTTTGCGTTCAACTCACAGAGTTTAACGTTTCTTTTCATAGAGCAGTTTGGAAACACTCTTTTTGCAGAATCTGTAAGTGGATATTTGGACCTCTTTGTGGCCTTCGTTGGAATCGGGATTTTTCATATAATTCTAGACAGAAGAATTCTCAGTAACTTCTTTTTGTGGTGTGTATTCAACTCACAGAGTTGAACCTTCCTTTAGACAGAGCAGATTTGAAACTCTCTTTTTGTGGAATTTGCAAGTGGAGATTTCAAGCGCTTTGAGGCCAATGGTAGAAAAGGAAATATCTTCGTAGAAAAAATAGACGGAATCATTCTCAGAAACTACTTTGTGATGTGTGCGTTCAACTCACAGTGTTTAACACTTCTTTTCATAGAGCACTTTGGAAACACTCAGTTTGTAAGGTTTGCAACTGGATATTTGGACCTCTTTGAGGCCTTCGCAGTAAACGGGATTTCTTCGTGTAATGATAGACAGTAGAATTCTCAGTGAATTTTTTTCTGTGTGTGTGTATTCAACTCACAGGGTTGAACCTTCCTTTAGACAGTGCAGATTTGAAACACTTGTCTGTGGAATTTGCAAGGGGAGATTTCAAGCACTTTGAGGCCATTGGTGGAAAAGGAAATATCTTTGTATAAAAACTAGACAGAATCATTCTCAGGAACTACTTTGTGATATGTGCATTCAACTCACAGAGTTTAACCTTTCTTTTCATAGATGAGTTTGGAAACAGTCAGTTTGTAAATTCTGCAACTGGATATTTGGACCTCTTTGAGGCTTTCGTTGGAAACGGGATTTCTTCACATAATGCTAGACAGAAGAATTCTCAGTAACTTCTTTTGGGATGTATGTATTCAAATCAGAGAGTTGAACCTTCCTTTAGACAGAGCGGATTGGAAACACTCTTTTTGTGGAATTTGCAAGTGGAAAATTCTAGCAGTATGAGGCCAATGGTACAAAAGGAAATATCTTCGTATAAAAACTAGACAGTATCATTCTCAGAAACTGCTTTGTGATGTGTGTATTAAACTCACAGAGTTGAACATTTCTTTGCATAGAGCAGTTTGGAAAGACTTAGTTTGTACAGTGTGCAAGTGGATATTTGGAACTCTTTGAGGCCTTCGTTGGAAACGGGATTTCTTCTTATAATTCTTGACAAAAGAATTCTCAGTAGCTTCTTTGTGTGTGTGTACTCAACTCACAGAGTTGAACCTTCCTTTAGACAGAGCAGATTGGAAACACTCTTTTTGTGGAATTTGCAAGTGGAGAATTCTAGCGATTTGAGGTCAATGGTAGAAAAGGTAATATCTTCGTATAAAAACTAGACAGTATCATTCTCAGAAACTACTTTGTGATGTGTGTTCAACTCACAGAGTTTAACCTTTCTTTTCATAGAGCAGTTTGGAAGCACTCTGTTTGTGAAGTCTGGAAGTGGATATTTGAACGTCTTTGAGGCCTTCGGTGGAAACGGGATTTCTTCATATAAACCAGGACAGAAGAATTCTCAGAAACTTCTTGTTTGTTATGTGTGCATTCAAATCAAAGAGTTAAACCTTACTTTGGAAAGAGCAGTTTTCTAACACTCTTTTTGTGAAAGTTCCAAGTGAATACTTTGAGTGCTTTGAAGCCTACGGTAGACAACGAAATATCTTCATGTAAAAACTACAAAGAATCATTCGCCGAAACCACGTTGTGATCTCTGCATTCAACATACAGAGTTCAACCTTTCTTCCTATAGAGCAGTTATTAAACAGTCTCTTTGTAGAATTTGCAAGGGTGTATTTAGAGGGTATTGAAGCCTACGGTAGAAAAGGAAATATCTGACCATAAAATCTAGTCAGAAGCATTCTCAGAAACTGAGTTGTGATGTTTGCATTCAACTCACAGAGTTCAACATTCCTTTTCATGGAGCGGTTTTGAAACACTCTTTTTGCAGAATCTGCAAGTGGATATTTGGACCTCTTTGAGGCCTTCGTTGGAAACGGTATTTCTTCATGTAATGCCAGACAGAAGAACTCTCAGTGAATTCTTTCTGTGTGTGTGTATTCAACTCACAGAGTTGAACGTTCCTTTAGACAGAGTAGATTGGAAACACTCTTTTTGTGGAATTTTCAGGTGGAGGTATCAAGCGCTTTGAGGCCCATGATAGAAAAGGAAATACCTTCGTATAATTAGACGGAATCATTCTCAGAAACTGCTTTGCAATGTGTGCGTTCAACTCACAGTGTTTAACCTTTCTTTTCATACAGTTGTTTTGAAACACTCTTTTTGCAGAATCTGCAAGTGGATATTTGGACCTCTTTGAAGTCTTCGTTGGAAATGGGATTTCTTCATATAATGTTGGACAGAAGACGTCTCAGTAACTGCTTTTTCTGGTGTGTATTCAACTGTCAGAGTTGAACTTTCCTTTAGAAGCAGCAGATTTGAATCTCTTTTTGTGGAATTTGCAAGTGGAGATTTCAAAGCTTTGAGGCCAATGGTAGAAAAGGAAATATCTTCCTATGCAAACTAGACAGAATCATTCTCAGAAACTACTTTGGTACGTGTGTGTTCAACTCACAGTGTTTAACCTTTCCTTTCATAGAGCAGTTTGGAAACACTCAGTTTGTAAAGTCAGCAACTGGATATCTGGATGTATTTGAGGCCTTCGATGGAAACGGGATTTCTTCATGTAATGCTAGACAGAAGAATTCTCAGTAACTTCTTTGGGTTGTGGGTATTCAAGTCACAGAGTTGAAGCTTCCTTTAGGCGGAGCAGATTGGAAACACTTTTTGTGGAATTTTCAGGGGGAGACTTCAAGCGCTTTGAAGTGAATGGTAGGAAAGGAAATATGCTTCGTATAAAAACTAGACGGAAGTCATTCTCAGAAACTACTTTGTGATGTTTGCGTTCAACTCACAGAGTTTAACGTTTCTTTTCATAGAGCAGTTTGGAAACACTCTTTTTGCAGAATCTGCAAGTGGATATTTGGACCTCTTTGTGGCCTTCGTTGGAAACGGGATTTTTCATATAATGCTAGACAGAAGAATTCTCAGTAACTTCTTTTTGTGGTGTGTATTCAACTCACAGAGTTGAACCTTCCTTTAGACAGAGCAGATTTGAAACTCTCTTTTTGTGGAATTTGCAAGTGGATATTTCAAGCGCTTTGAGGCCAACGGCAGAAAAGGAAATATCTTCGTAGAAAAAATAGACGGAATCATTCTCAGAAACTGCTTTGGGATGTGTGCATTGAACTCACAGTGTTTAACACTTCTTTTCATAGAGCACTTTGGAAACACTCAGTTTGTAATGTCTGCAGCTGGATATTTGGAACTCTTTGAGGCCTTCGTAGTAAACGGGATTTCTTCGTGTAATGATAGACAATAGAATTCTCAGTGAATTTTTTTCTGTGTGTGTGTATTCAACTCACAGGGTTGAACCATCCTTCAGACAGTGCAGATTTGAAACACTTTTCTGTGGAATTTGCAAGGGGAGATTTCAAGCACTTTGAGGCCATTGGTGGAAAAGGAAATTTCTTCGTATAAAAACTAGACAGAATCATTCTCAGGAACTAATTTGTGATATGTGCGTTCAACTCACAGGGTTTAACCTTTCTTTTCATAGATGAGTTTGGAAACAGTCAGTTTGTAAATTCTGCAACTGGATATTAGGACCTCTTTGAGGCTTTCGTTGGAAACGGGATTTCTTCACATAATGCTAGACAGAAGAATTCTCAGTAACTTCTTTTGGGATGTATGTATTCAAATCAGAGAGTTGAACCTTCCTTTAGACAGAGCGGATTGGAAACACTCTTTTTGTGGAATTTGCAAGTGGAAAATTCTAGCAGTATGAGGCCAATGGTACAAAAGGAAATATCTTCGTACAAAAACTAGACAGTATCATTCTCAGAAACGGCTTTGTGATGTGTGCATTAAACGCACAGAGTTGAACATTTCTTTGCATAGAGCAGTTTGGAAAGACTTAGTTTGTACAGTGTGCAAGTGGATATTTGGAACTCTTTGAGGCCTTCGTTGGAAACGGGATTTCTTCTTATAATTCTTGACAAAAGAATTCTCAGTAGCTTCTTTGTGTATGTGTATTCAACTCACAGAGTTGAACCTTCCTTTAGACAGAGCAGATTGGAAACACTCTTTTTGTGGAATTTGCAAGTGGAGAATTCTAGCGCTTTGACGCCAATGGTAGAAAGGAAATATCTTCGTATAAAAACTAGACAGTATCATTCTCAGAAGCTACTTTGTGATGTGTGCGTTCAACTCACAGAGTTTAACCTTTCTTTTCATAGAGCAGTTTGGAAACACTCTGTTTGTGAAGTCTGCAAGTGGATATTTAAACGTCTTTGAGGC
Organism: Homo sapiens; assembly: GCF_000001405.40. Taxonomy (NCBI): domain Eukaryota; kingdom Metazoa; phylum Chordata; class Mammalia; order Primates; family Hominidae; genus Homo; species Homo sapiens. The sequence continues at coordinate 91,559,496 of NC_000003.12, forward strand.
CTTCGTTGGAAACGGGATTTTTTCATATAAACCAGGACAGAAGAATTCTCAGAAACTTCTTGATTGTTATGTGTGCATTCAACTCACAGAGTTGAACCTTACTTTGGAAAGAGCAGTTTTCTAATACTCTTTTTGTAAAAGTTCCAAGTGAATACTTTGAGTGCTTTGAAGCCTACGGTTGACAACGAAATATCTTCATGTAAAAACTACAAAGAATCATTCGCAGAAACCACGTTGTGATCTCTGCATTCAACTCACGGAGTTGAACCTTTCTTCCTATAGAGCAGTTATGAAACAGTCTCTTTGTAGAATTTGCAAGGGTGTATTTAGAGGGCATTGAAGCCTACGGTAGAAAAGGAAATATCTTACCATAAAATCTAGTCAGAAGCATTCTCAGAAACTGAGTTGTGATGTTTACATTCAACTCACAGAGTTCAACATTCCTTTTCATGGAGCGGTTTTGAAACACTCTTTTTGCAGAATCTGCAAGTGGATATTTGGACCTCTTTGAGGCCTTCGTTGGAAACGGGATTTCTTCATGTAATGCCAGACAGAAGAACTCTCAGTGAATTCTTTCTGTGTGTTTGTATTCAACTCACAGAGTTGAACGTTCCTTTAGACAGAGTAGATTGGAAACACTCTTTTTGTGGAATTTTCAGGTGGAGGTATCAAGCGCTTTGAGGCCCATGATAGAAAAGGAAATACCTTCGTATAATAATTAGACGGAATCAATCTCAGAAACTGCTTTGCAATGTGTGCCTTCAACTCACAGCGTTTAACCTTTCTTTTCATACAGTTGTTTCGATACACTCTTTTTGCAGAACCTGCAAGTGGATATTTGGACCTCCTTTGAAGTCTTCGTTGGAAATGGGATTTCTTCATATAATGCTAGACAGAAGACTTCTCAGTAACTGCTTTTTCTGGTGTGTATTCAACTCTCAGAGGTGAACTTTCCTTTAGAAACAGCAGATTTGAAACTCTCTTTTTGTGGAATTTGCAAGTGGAGATTTCAAAGCTTTGAGGCCAGTGGTAGAAAAGGAAATATCTTCGTATGCAAACTAGACAGAATCATTCTCAGAAACTACTTTGGTACGTGTGTGTTCAACTCACAGTGTTTAACCTTTCTTTTCATAGAGCAGTTTGGAAACACTCAGTTTGTAAAGTCAGCAACTGGATATTTGGATGTATTTGAGGCCTTCGTTGGAAACGGGATTTCTTCATATAATGCTAGACAGAAGAATTCTCAGTAACTTCTTTGGGTTGTGGGTATTCAACTCACAGAGCTGAAGCTTCCTTTAGGCGGAGCAGATTGGAAACACTTTTTGTGGAATTTTCAGGGGGAGACTTCAAGCGCTTTGAGGCCAACGGTAGAAAAGGAAATATCTTTGTATAAAAACTAGACGGAATCATTCTCAGAAACTACTTTGGTACGTGTGTGTTCAACTCACTGTGTTTAACCTTTCCTTTCATAGAGCAGTTTGGAAACACTCTTTTTGCAGAATCGGCAAGTGGATATTTGGACCTCTTTGTGGCCTTCGTTGGAAACGGGATTTTTCATATAATGCTAGACAGAAGAATTCTCAGTAACTTCTTTTTGTGGTGTGTATTCAACTCACAGAGTTGAACCTTACTTTAGACAGAGCAGATCTGAAACTCTCTTTTTGTGGAATTTGTAAGTGGAGATTTCAAGCGCTTTGAGGCCAACGGCAGAAAAGGAAATATCTTCGTAGAAAAAAATAGACGGAATCATTCTCAGAAACTGCTTTGGGATGTGTGCATTGAACTCACAGTGTTTAACACTTCTTTTCATAGAGCACTTGGGAAACACTCAGTTTGTAATGTCTGCAGCTGGATATTTGGACCTCTTTGAGGCCTTCGTAGTAAACGGGATTTCTTCGTGTAATGATAGACAATAGAATTCTCAGTGAATTTTTTTCTGTGTGTGTGTGTATTCAACTCACAGGGTTGAACCTTCCTTTAGACAGTGCAGATTTGAAACACTTGTCTGTGGAATTTGCAAGGGGAGATTTCAAGCACTTTGAGGCCATTGGTGGAAAAGGAAATATCTTCGTATAAAAACTAGACAGAATCATTCTCAGGAACTACTTTGTGATATGTGCATTCAACTCACAGAGTTTAACCTTTCTTTTCATAGATGAGTTTGGAAACAGTCAGTTTGTAAATTCTGCAACTGGATATTTGGGCCTCTTTGAGGCTTTCGTTGGAAACGGGATTTCTTCACATAATGCTAGACAGAAGAATTCTCAGTAACTTCTTTTGGGATGTATGTATTCAAATCAGAGAGTTGAACCTTCCTTTAGACAGAGCGGATTGGAAACACTCTTTTTGTGGAATTTGCAAGTGGAAAATTCTAGCAGTATGAGGCCAATGGTACAAAAGGAAATATCTTCGTATAAAAACTAGACAGTATCATTCTCAGAAACTACTTTGTGATGTGTGCGTTCAACTCACAGTGTTTACCCTTTCTTTTCATAGAGCAGTTTGGAAACACTCTGTTTGTGAAGTCTGCAAGTGGATATTTAAACGTCTTTGAGGCCTTCGTTGGAAACGGGATTTCTTCCTATAAACCAGGACAGAAGAATTCTCAGAAACTTCTTGTTTGTTATGTGTGCATTCAACTCACAGAGTTGAACCTTACTTTGGAAAGAGCAGTTTTCTAACACTCTTTTTGTAAAAGTTCCAAGTGAATACTTTGAGTGCTTTGAAGCCTACGGTAGACAACGAAATATCTTCATGTAAAAACTACAAAGAATCATTCGCAGAAACCACGTTGTGATCTCTGCATTCAACTCACAGAGTTGAACCTTTCCTCCAATAGAGCAGTTATGAAACAGTCTCTTTGTAGAATTTGCAAGGGTGTATTTACAGGGCATTGAAGCCTACGGTAGAAAAGGAAATATCTTACCATAAAATCTAGTCAGAAGCATTCTCAGAAACTGAGTTGTGATGTTTGCATTCAACTCACAGAGTTCAACATTCCTTTTAATGGAGCGGTTTTGAAACACTCTTTTTGCAGAATCTGCAAGTGGATATTTGGACCTCTTTGAGGCCTTCGTTGGAAACGGGATTTCTTCATGTAATGCCAGACAGAAGAATTCTCAGTGAATTCTTTCTGTGTGTGTGTATTCAACTCACAGAGTTGAACGTTCCTTTAGACAGAGTAGATTGGAAACACTCTTTTTGTGGAATTTTCAGGTGGAGGTATCAAGCGCTTTGAGGCCAATGATAGAAAAGGAAATACCTTCGTATAATAATTAGACGGAATCATTCTCAGAAACTGCTTTGCAATGTGTGCGTTCAACTCACAGTGTTTAACCTTTCTTTTCATACAGTTGTTTCGAAACACTCTTTTTGCAGAATCTGCAAGTGGATATTTGGACCTCTTTGAAGTCTTCGTTGGAAATGGGATTTCTTCATATAATGCTAGACAGAAGACTTCTCAGTAACTGCTTTTTCTGGTGTGTATTCAACTCTCAGAGTTGAACTTTCCTTTAGAAACAGCAGATTTGAAACTCTCTTTTTGTGGAATTTGCAAGTGGAGATTTCAGAGCTTTGAGGCCAATGGTAGAAAAGGAAATATCTTCGTATGCAAACTAGACAGAATCATTCTCAGAAACTACTTTGGTACGTGTGTGTTCAACTCACAGTGTTTAACCTTTCTTTTCATAGAGCAGTTTGGAAACACTCAGTTTGTAAAGTCAGCCACTGGATATTTGGATGTATTTGAGGCCTTCGTTGGAAACGGGATTTCTTCATATAATGCTAGACAGAAGAATTCTCAGTAACTTCTTTGGGTTGTGGGTATTCAAGTCACAGAGTTGAAGCTTCCTTTAGGCGGAGCAGATTGGAAACACTTTTTGTGGAATTTTCAGGGGGAGACTTCAAGCGCTTTGAAGTGAATGGTAGGAAAGGAAATATCTTCGTATAAAAACTAGACGGAGTCATTGTCAGAAACTACTTTGTGATGTTTGCGTTCAACTCACAGAGTTTAACGTTTCTTTTCATAGAGCAGTTTGGAAACACTCTTTTTGCAGAATCTGCAAGTGGATATTTGGACCTCTTTGTGGCCTTCGTTGGAAACGGGATTTTTCATATAATGCTAGACAGAAGAATTCTCAGTAACTTCTTTTTGTGGTGAGTATTCAACTCACAGAGTTGAACCTTCCTTTAGACAGAGCAGATTTGAAGCTCTCTTTTTGTGGAATTTGCAAGTGGAGATTTCAAGCGCTTTGAGGCCAACGGTAGAAAAGGAAATATCTTCTTAGAAAAAAATAGACGGAATCATTCTCAGAAACTGCTTTGGGATGTGTGCATTGAACTCACAGTGTTTAACACTTCTTTTCATAGAGCACTTTGGAAACACTCAGTTTATAATGTCTGCAGCTGGATATTTGGACCTCTTTGAGGCCTTCGTAGTAAACGGGATTTCTTCGTGTAATGATAGACAATAGAATTCTCAGTGAATTTTTTTCTGTGTGTGTGTATTCAACTCACAGGGTTGAACCATCCTTTAGACAGTGCAGATTTGAAACACTTGTCTGTGGAATTTGCAAGGGGAGATTTCAAGCACTTTGAGGCCATTGGTGGAAAAGGAAATATCTTCGTATGAAAACTAGACAGAATCATTCTCAGGAACTACTTTGTGATATGTGCATTCAACTCCCAGAGTTTAACCTTTCTTTTCATAGATGAGTTTGGAAACAGTCAGTTTGTAAATTCTGCAACTGGATATTTGGACCTCTTTGAGGCTTTCGTTGGAAACGGGATTTCTTCACATAATGCTAGACAGAAGAATTCTCAGTAACTTCTTTTGGGATGTATGTATTCAAATCAGAGAGTTGAACCTTCCTTTAGACAGAGCGGATTGGAAACACTCTTTTTGTGGAATTTGCAAGTGGAAAATTCTAGCAGTATGAGGCCAATGGTACAAAAGGAAATATCTTCGTATAAAAACTAGACAGTCTCATTCTCAGAAACTGCTTTGTGATGTGTGCATTGAACTCACAGAGTTGAACATTTCTTTGCATAGAGCAGTTTGGAAAGACTTAGTTTGTACAGTGTGCAAGTGGATATTTGGAACTCTTTGAGGCCTTCGTTGGAAACGGGATTTCTTCTTATAATTCTTGACAAAAGAATTCTCAGTAGCTTCTTTGTGTGTGTGTATTCAACTCACAGAGTTGAACCTTCCTTTAGACAGAGCAGATTGGAAACACTCTTTTTGTGGAATTTGCAAGTGGAGAATTCTAGCGCTTTGACGCCAATGGTAGAAAGGAAATATGCTTCGTATAAAAACTAGACAGTAATCATTCTCAGAAACTACTTTGTGATGTGTGCGTTCAACTCACAGAGTTTAACCTTTCTTTTCATAGAGCAGTTTGGAAACACTCTGTTTGTGAAGTGTGCAAGTGGATATTTAAACGTCTTTGAGGCCTTCGTTGGAAACGGGATTTTTTCATATAAACCAGGACAGAAGAATTCTCAGAAACTTCTTGTTTGTTATGTGTGCATTCAACTCACAGAGTTGAACCTTACTTTGGAAAGAGCAGTTTTCTAACACTCTTGTTGTAAAAGTTCCAAGTGAATACTTTGAGTGCTTTGAAGCCTACGGTAGACAACGAAATATCTTCATGTAAAAACTATGAAGAATCATTCGCAGAAACCACGTTGTGATCTCTGCATTCAACTCACAGAGTTCAACCTTTCTTCCTATAGAGCAGTTATGAAACAGTCTCTTTCTAGAATTTGCAAGGGTGTATTTAGAGGGCATTGAAGCCTACGGTAGAAAAGGAAATATCTTACCATAAAATCTAGTCAGAAGCATTCTCAGCAACTGAGTTGTGATGTTTGCATTCAACTCACAGAGTTCAACATTCCTTTTAATGGAGCGGTTTTGAAACACTCTTTTTGCAGAATCTGCAAGTGGATATTTGGACCTCTTTGAGGCCTTCGTTGGAAACGGGATTTCTTCATGTAATGCCAGACAGAAGAATTCTCAGTGAATTCTTTCTGTGTGTGTGTATTCAACTCACAGAGTTGAACGTTCCTTTAGACAGAGTAGATTGGAAACACTCTTTTTGTGGAATTTTCAGGTGGAGGTATCAAGCGCTTTGAGGCCAATGATAGAAAAGGAAATACCTTCGTATAATAATTAGACGGAATCATTCTCAGAAACCGCTTTGCAATGTGTGCGTTCAACTCACAGTGTTTAACCTTTCTTTTCATACAGTTGTTTCGAAACACTCTTTTTGCAGAATCTGCAAGTGGATATTTGGACCTCTTTGAAGTCTTCGTTGGAAATGGGATTTCTTCATATAATGCTAGACAGAAGACTTCTCAGTAACTGCTTTTTCTGGTGTGTATTCAACTCTCAGAGTTGAACTTTCCTTTAGAAACAGCAGATTTGAAACTCTCTTTTTGTGGAATTTGCAAGTGGAGATTTCAGAGCTTTGAGGCCAATGGTAGAAAAGGAAATATCTTCGTATGCAAACTAGACAGAATCATTCTCAGAAACTACTTTGGTACGTGTGTGTTCAACTCACAGTGTTTAACCTTTCTTTTCATAGAGCAGTTTGGAAACACTCAGTTTGTAAAGTCAGCAACTGGATATTTGGATGTATTTGAGGCCTTCGTTGGAAACGGGATTTCTTCATATAATGCTAGACAGAAGAATTCTCAGTAACTTCTTTGGGTTGTGGGTATTCAAGTCACAGAGTTGAAGCTTCCTTTAGGTGGAGCAGATTGGAAACACTTTTTGTGGAATTTTCAGGGGGAGACTTCAAGCGCTTTGAAGTGAATGGTAGGAAAGGAAATATCTTCGTATAAAAACTAGACGGAATCATTCTCAGAAACTACTTTGGTACGTGTGTGTTCAACTCACAGTGTTTAACCTTTCCTTTCATAGAGCAGTTTGGAAACACTCTTTTTGCAGAATCGGCAAGTGGATATTTGGACCTCTTTGTGGCCTTCGTTGGAAACGGGATTTTTCATATAATGCTAGACAGAAGAATTCTCAGTAACTTCTTTTTGTGGTGTGTATTCAACTCACAGAGTTGAACCTTCCTTTAGACAGAGCAGATTTCAAACTCTCTTTTTGTGGAATTTGCAAGTGGAGATTTCAAGCGCTTTGAGGCCAATGGTAGGAAAGGAAATATCTTCGTAGAAAAAATAGACGGAATGATTCTCAGAAACTGCTTTGGGATGTGTGCATTGAACTCACAGTGTTTAACACTTCTTTTCATAGAGCACTTTGGAAACACTCAGTTTGTAATGTCTGCAGCTAGATATTTGGACCTCTTTGAGGCCTTCGTAGTAAACGGGATTTCTTCGTGTAATGATAGACAATAGAAGAATTCTCAGTGAATTTTTTTCTGTGTGTGTGTATTCAACTCACAGGGTTGAACCTTCCTTTAGACAGTGCAGATTTGAGACACTTGTCTGTGGAATTTGCAAGGGGAGATTTCAAGCACTTTGAGGCCATTGGTGGAAAAGGAAATATCTTCGTATAAAAACTAGACAGAATCATTCTCAGGAACTACTTTGTGATATGTGCATTCAACTCACAGAGTTTAACCTTTCTTTTCATAGATGAGTTTGGAAACAGTCAGTTTGTAAATGCTGCAACTGGATATTTGGGCCTCTTTGAGGCTTTCGTTGGAAACGGGATTTCTTCACATAATGCTAGACAGAAGAATTCTCAGTAACTTCTTTTGGGATGTATGTATTCAAATCAGAGAGTTGAACCTTCCTTTAGACAGAGCGGATTGGAAACACTCTTTTTGTGGAATTTGCAAGTGGAAAATTCTAGCAGTATGAGGCCAATGGTACAAAAGGAAATATCTTCGTATAAAAACTAGACAGTATCATTCTCAGAAACTGCTTTGTGATGTGTGTATTAAACTCACAGATTTGAACATTTCTTTGCATAGAGCAGTATGGAAAGACTTAGTTTGTGCAGTGTGCAAGTGGATATTTGGAACTCTTTGAGGCCTTGGTTGGAAACGGGATTTCTTCTTATAATTCTTGACAAAAGAATTCTCAGTAGCTTCTTTGTGTGTGTGTACTCAACTCACAGAGTTGAACCTTCCTTTAGACAGAGCAGATTGGAAACACTCTTTTTGTGGAATTTGCAAGTGGAAAATTCTAGCAGTATGAGGCCAATGGTACAAAAGGAAATATCTTCGTATAAAAACTAGACAGTATCATTCTCAGAAACTACTTTGTGAGGTGTGCGTTCAACTCACAGTGTTTAACCTTTCTTTTCATAGAGCAGTTTGGAAACACTCTGTTTGTGAAGTCTGCAAGTGGATATTTAAACGTCTTTGAGGCCTTCGTTGGAAACGGGATTTCTTCATATAAACCAGGACAGAAGAATTCTCAGAAACTTCTTGTTTGTTATGTGTGCATTCAACTCACAGAGTTGAACCTTACTTTGGAAAGAGCAGTTTTCTAACACTCTTTTTGTGAAAGTTCCAAGTGAATACTTTGAGTGCTTTGAAGCCTACGGTAGACAACGAAATATCTTCATGTAAAAACTACAAAGAATCATTCGCAGAAACCACGTTGTGATCTCTGCATTCAACTCACAGAGTTGAACCTTTCCTCCTATAGAGCAGTTATGAAGCAGTCTCTTTGTAGAATTTGCAAGGGTGTGTTTACAGGGCATTGAAGCCTACGGTAGAAAAGGAAATATCTTACCATAAAATCTAGTCAGAAGCATTCTCAGAAACTGAGTTGTGATGTTTGCATTCAACTCACAGAGTTCAACATTCCTTTTAATGGAGCGGTTTTGAAACACTCTTTTTGCAGAATCTGCAAGTGGATATTTGGACCTCTTTGAGGCCTTCGTTGGAAACGGGATTTCTTCATGTAATGCCAGACAGAAGAATTCTCAGTGAATTCTTTCTGTGTGTGTGTATTCAACTCACAGAGTTGAACGTTCCTTTAGACAGAGTAGATTGGAAACACTCTTTTTGTGGAATTTTCAGGTGGAGGTATCAAGCGCTTTGAGGCCAATGATAGAAAAGGAAATACCTTCGTATAATAATTAGACGGAATCATTCTCAGAAACTGCTTTGCAATGTGTGCGTTCAACTCACAGTGTTTAACCTTTCTTTTCATACAGTTGTTTCGAAACACTCTTTTTGCAGAATCTGCAAGTGGATATTTGGACCTCTTTGAAGTCTTCGTTGGAAATGGGATTTCTTCATACAATGCTAGACAGAAGACTTCTCAGTAACTGCTTTTTCTGGTGTGTATTCAACTCTCAGAGTTGAACTTTCCTTTAGAAACAGCAGATTTGAAACTCTCTTTTTGTGGAATTTGCAAGTGGAGATTTCAGAGCTTTGAGGCCACTGGTAGAAAAGGAAATATCTTCGTATGCAAACTAGACAGAATCATTCTCAGAAACTACTTTGGTACGTGTGTGTTCAACTCACAGTGTTTAACCTTTCTTTTCATAGAGCAGTTTGGAAACACTCAGTTTGTAAAGTCAGCAACTGGATATTTGGATGTATTTGAGGCCTTCGTTGGAAACGGGATTTCTTCATATAATGCTAGACAGAAGAATTCTCAGTAACTTCTTTGGGTTGTGGGTATTCAACTCACAGAGTTGAAGCTTCCTTTAGGCGGAGCAGATTGGAAACACTTTTTGTGGAATTTTCAGGGGGAGACTTCAAGCGCTTTGAAGTGAATGGTAGGAAAGGAAATATCTTCGTATAAAAACTAGACGGAGTCATTCTCAGAAACTACTTTGTGATGTTTGCGTTCAACTCACAGAGTTTAACGTTTCTTTTCATAGAGCAGTTTGGAAACACTCTTTTTGCAGAATCTGCAAGTGGATATTTGGACCTCTTTGTGGCCTTCGTTGGAAACGGGATTTTTCATATAATGCTAGACAGAAGAATTCTCAGTAACTTCTTTTTGTGGTGTGTATTCAACTCACAGAGTTGAACCTTCCTTTAGACAGAGCAGATTTGAAACTCTCTTTTTGTGGAATTTGCAAGTGGAGATTTCAAGCGCTTTGAGGCCAACGGCAGAAAAGGAAATATCTTCGTAGAAAAAATAGACGGAATCATTCTCAGAAACTACTTTGGGATGTGTGCGTTCAACTCACAGTGTTTAACACTTCTTTTCATAGAGCACTTTGGAAACACTCAGTTTGTAAGGTTTGCAACTGGATATTTGGACCTCTTTGAGGCCTTCGCAGTAAACGGGATTTCTTCGTGTAATGATAGACAGTAGAATTCTCAGTGAATTTTTTTCTGTGTGTGTGTATTCAACTCACAGGGTTGAACCTTCCTTTAGACAGTGCAGATTTGAAACACTTGTCTGTGGAATTTGCAAGGGGAGATTTCAAGCACTTTGAGGCCATTGGTGGAAAAGGAAATATCTTCGTATAAAAACTAGACAGAATCATTCTCAGGAACTACTTTGTGATATGTGCATTCAACTCACAGAGTTTAACCTTTCTTTTCATAGATGAGTTTGGAAACAGTCAGTTTGTAAATTCTGCAACTGGATATTTGGACCTCTTTGAGGCTTTCGTTGGAAACGGGATTTCTTCACATAATGCTAGACAGAAGAATTCTCAGCAGCTTCTTTGTGTGTGTGTATTCAACTCACAGAGTTGAACCTTCCTTTAGGCAGAGCAGATTGGAAACCCACTTTTTGTGGAATTGGCAAGTGGAGAATTCTAGCGCTTTGACGCCAATGGTAGGAAAGGAAATATCTCCGTATAAAAACTAGACAGTATCATTCTCAGAAACTACTTTGTGATGTGTGCGTTCAACTCACAGACTTTAACCTTTCTTTTCATAGAGCAGTTTGGAAACACTCTGTTTGTGAAGTCTGCAAGTGGATATTTGAACGTCTTTGAGGCCTTCGTTGGAAACGGGATTTTTTCATATAAACCAGGACAGAAGAATTCTCAGAAACTTCTTGTTTGTTATGTGTGCATTCAACTTACAGAGTTGAACCTTACTTTGGAAAGAGCAGTTTTCTAACACTCTTTTTGTAAAAGTTCCAAGTGAATACTTTGAGTGCTTTGAAGCCTACGGTAGACAACGAAATATCTTCATGTAAAAACTACGAAGAATCATTCGCAGAAACCACGTTGTGATCTCTGCATTCAACTCACAGTGTTGAACCTTTCTTCCTATAGAGCAGTTATGAAACAGTCTCTTTGTAGAATTTGCAAGGGTGTATTTAGAGGGCATTGAAGCCTACGGTAGAAAAGGAAATATCTTACCATAAAATCTAGTCAGAAGCATTCTCAGAAACTGAGTTGTGATGTTTGCATTCAACTCACAGAGTTCAACATTCCTTTTCATGGAGCGGTTTTGAAACACTCTTTTTGCAGAATCTGCAAGTGGATATTTGGACCTCTTTGAGGCCTTCGTTGAAAACGGGATTTCTTCATGTAATGCCAGACAGAAGAATTCTCAGTGAATTCTTTCTGTGTGTGTGTATTCAACTCACGGAGTTGAACGTTCCTTTAGACAGAATAGATTGGAAACACTCTTTTTGTGGAATTTTCAGGTGGAGGTATCAAGCGCTTTGAGGCCAATGATAGAAAAGGAAATACCTTCGTATAATAATTAGACGGAATCATTCTCAGAAACTGCTTTGCAATGTGTGCGTTCAACTCACAGTGTTTAACCTTTCTTTTCATACAGTTGTTTCGAAACACTCTTTTTGCAGAATCTGCAAGTGGATATTTGGACCTCTTTGAAGTCTTCGTTGGAAATGGGATTTCTTCATATAATGCTAGACAGAAGACTTCTCAGTAACTGCTTTTTCTGGTGTGTATTCAACTCTCAGAGTTGAACTTTCCTTTAGAAACAGCAGAGTTGAAACTCTCTTTTTGTGGAATTTGCAAGTGGAGATTTCAGAGCTTTGAGGCCAATGGTAGAAAAGGAAATATCTTCGTATGCAAACTAGACAGAATCATTCTCAGAAACTACTTTGGTACGTGTGTGTTCAACTCACAGTGTTTAACCTTTCTTTTCATAGAGCAGTTTGGAAACACTCAGTTTGTAAAGTCAGCAACTGGATATTTGGATGTATTTGAGGCCTTCGTTGGAAACGGGATTTCTTCATATAATGCTAGACAGAAGAATTCTCAGTAACTTCTTTGGGTTGTGGGTATTCAAGTCACAGAGTTGAAGCTTCCTTTAGGCGGAGCAGATTGGAAACACTTTTTGTGGAATTTTCAGGGGGAGACTTCAAGCGCTTTGAAGTGAATGGTAGGAAAGGAAATATCTTCGTATAAAAACTAGACGGAGTCATTCTCAGAAACAACTTTGTGATGTTTGCGTTCAACTCACAGAGTTTAACGTTTCTTTTCATAGAGCAGTTTGGAAACACTCTTTTTGCAGAATCTGCAAGTGGATATTTGGACCTCTTTGTGGCCTTCGTTGGAAACGGGATTTTTCATATAATGCTAGACAGAAGAATTCTCAGTAACTTCTTTTTGTGGTGTGTATTCAACTCACAGAGTTGAACCTTCCTTTAGACAGAGCAGATTTGAAACTCTCTTTTTGTGGAATTTGCAAGTGGAGATTTCAAGCGCTTTGAGGCCAACGGCAGAAAAGGAAATATCTTCGTAGAAAAAATAGACGGAATCATTCTCAGAAACTGCTTTGGGGTGTGTGCATTGAACTCACAGTGTTTAACACTTCTTTTCATAGAGCACTTTGGAAACACTCAGTTTGTAATGTCTGCAGCTGGATAATTTTGGACCTCTTTGAGGCCTTCGTAGTAAACGGGATTTCTTCGTGTAATGATAGACAATAGAATTCTCAGTGAATTTTTTTCTGTGTGTGTGTATTCAACTCACAGGGTTGAACCTTCCTTTAGACAGTGCAGATTTGAGACACTTGTCTGTGGAATTTGCAAGGGGAGATTTCAAGCACTTTGAGGCCATTGGTGGAAAAGGAAATATCTTCGTATGAAAACTAGACAGAATCATTCTCAGGAACTACTTTGTGATATGTGCATTCAACTCCCAGAGTTTAACCTTTCTTTTCATAGATGAGTTTGGAAACAGTCAGTTTGTAAATTCTGCAACTGGATATTAGGACCTCTTTGAGGCTTTCGTTGGAAACGGGATTTCTTCACATAATGCTAGACAGAAGAATTCTCAGTAACTTCTTTTGGGATGTATGTATTCAAATCAGAGAGTTGAACCTTCCTTTAGACAGAGCGGATTGGAAACACTCTTTTTGTGGAATTTGCAAGTGGAAAATTCTAGCAGTATGAGGCCAATGGTACAAAAGGAAATATCTTCGTATAAAAACTAGACAGTATCATTCTCAGAAACTGCTTTGTGATGTGTGGATTAAACTCACAGAGTTGAACATTTCTTTGCATAGAGCAGTTTGGAAAGACTTAGTTTGTGCAGTGTGCAAGTGGATATTTGGAACTCTTTGAGGCCTTCGTTGGAAACGGGATTTCTTCTTATAATTCTTGACAAAAGAATTCTCAGTAGCTTCTTTGTGTGTGTGTATTCAACTCACAGAGTTGAACCTTCCTTTAGACAGAGCAGATTGGAAACACTCTTTTTGTGGAATTTGCAAGTGGAGAATTCTAGCGCTTTGACGCCAATGGTAGAAAGGAAATATCTTCGTATAAAAACTAGACAGTATCATTCTCAGAAACTACTTTGTGATGTGTGCGTTCAACTCACAGTAGTTTAACCTTTCTTTTCATAGAGCAGTTTGGAAACACTCTGTTTGTGAAGTCTGCAAGTGGATATTTAAACGTCTTTGAGGCCTTCGTTGGAAACGGGATTTTTTCATATAAACCAGGACAGAAGAATTCTCAGAAACTTCTTGTTTGTTATGTGTGCATTCAACTCACAGAGTTGAACCTTACTTTGGAAAGAGCAGTTTTCTAACACTCTTTTTGTAAAAGTTCCAAGTGAATACTTTGAGTGCTTTGAAGCCTACGGTAGACAACGAAATATCTTCATGTAAAAACTACGAAGAATCATTCGCAGAAACCACGTTGTGATCTCTGCATTCAACTCACAGAGTTCAACCTTTCTTCCTATAGAGCAGTTATGAAACAGTCTCTTTCTAGAATTTGCAAGGGTGTATTTAGAGGGCATTGAAGCCTACGGTAGAAAAGGAAATATCTTACCATAAAATCTAGTCAGAAGCATTCTCAGAAACTGAGTTGTGATGTTTGCATTCAACTCACAGAGTTCAACATTCCTTTTAATGGAGCGGTTTTGAAACACTCTTTTTGCAGAATCTGCAAGTGGATATTTGGACCTCTTTGAGGCCTTCGTTGGAAACGGGATTTCTTCATGTAATGCCAGACAGAAGAATTCTCAGTGAATTCTTTCTGTGTGTGTGTATTCAACTCACAGAGTTGAACGTTCCTTTAGACAGAGTAGATTGGAAACACTCTTTTTGTGGAATTTTCAGGTGGAGGTATCAAGCGCTTTGAGGCCAATGATAGAAAAGGAAATACCTTCGTATAATAATTAGACGGAATCATTCTCAGAAACTGCTTTGCAATGTGTGCGTTCAACTCACAGTGTTTAACCTTTCTTTTCATACAGTTGTTTCGAAACACTCTTTTTGCAGAATCTGCAAGTGGATATTTGGACCTCTTTGAAGTCTTCGTTGGAAATGGGATTTCTTCATATAATGCTAGACAGAAGACTTCTCAGTAACTGCTTTTTCTGGTGTGTATTCAACTCTCAGAGTTGAACTTTCCTTTAGAAACAGCAGATTTGAAACTCTCTTTTTGTGGAATTTGCAAGTGGAGATTTCAGAGCTTTGAGGCCAATGGTAGAAAAGGAAATATCTTCGTATGCAAACTAGACAGAATCATTCTCAGAAACTACTTTGGTACGTGTGTGTTCAACTCACAGTGTTTAACCTTTCTTTTCATAGAGCAGTTTGGAAACACTCAGTTTGTAAAGTCAGCAACTGGATATTTGGATGTATTTGAGGCCTTCGTTGGAAACGGGATTTCTTCATATAATGCTAGACAGAAGAATTCTCAGTAACTTCTTTGGGTTGTGGGTATTCAAGTCACAGAGTTGAAGCTTCCTTTAGGCGGAGCAGATTGGAAACACTTTTTGTGGAATTTTCAGGGGGAGACTTCAAGCGCTTTGAAGTGAATGGTAGGAAAGGAAATATCTTCGTATAAAAACTAGACGGAGTCATTCTCAGAAACTACTTTGTGATGTTTGCGTTCAACTCACAGAGTTTAACGTTTCTTTTCATAGAGCAGTTTGGAAACACTCTTTGCAGAATCTGCAAGTGGATATTTGGACCTCTTTGTGGCCTTCGTTGGAAACGGGATTTTTCATATAATGCTAGACAGAAGAATTCTCAGTAACTTCTTTTTGTGGTGTGTATTCAACTCACAGAGTTGAACCTTCCTTTAGACAGAGCAGATTTGAAACTCTCTTTTTGTGGAATTTGCAAGTGGAGATTTCAAGCGCTTTGAGGCCAACGGCAGAAAAGGAAATATCTTCGTAGAAAAAATAGACGGCATCATTCTCAGAAACTACTTTGGGATGTGTGCGTTCAACTCACAGTGTTTAACACTTCTTTTCATAGAGCACTTTGGAAACACTCTGTTTGTAAGGTTTGCAACTGGATATTTGGACCTCTTTGAGGCCTTCGCAGTAAACGGGATTTCTTCGTGTCATGATAGACAGTAGAATTCTCAGTGAATTTTTTTCTGTGTGTGTGTATTCAACTCACAGGGTTGAACCTTCCTTTAGACAGTGCAGATTTGAAACACTTGTCTGTGGAATTTGCAAGGGGAGATTTCAAGCACTTTGAGGCCATTGGTGGAAAAGGAAATATCTTCGTATAAAAACTAGACAGAATCATTCTCAGGAACTACTTTGTGATATGTGCATTCAACTCACAGAGTTTAACCTTTCTTTTCATAGATGAGTTTGGAAACAGTCAGTTTGTAAATTCTGCAACTGGATATTTGGACCTCTTTGAGGCTTTCGTTGGAAACGGGATTTCTTCACATAATGCTAGACAAGAATTCTCAGTAACTTCTTTTGGGATGTATGTATTCAAATCAGAGAGTTGAACCTTCCTTTAGACAGAGCGGATTGGAAACACTCTTTTTGTGGAATTTGCAAGTGGAAAATTCTAGCAGTATGAGGCCAATGGTACAAAAGGAAATATCTTCGTATAAAAACTAGACAGTATCATTCTCAGAAACTGCTTTGTGATGTGTGCATTAAACTCACAGGGTTGAACATTTCTTTGCATAGAGCAGTTTGGAAAGACTTAGTGTGTACAGTGTGCAAGTGGATATATGGAACTCTTTGAGGCCTTCGTTGGAAACGGGATTTCTTCTTATAATTCTTGACAAAAGAATTCTCAGTAGCTTCTTTGTGTGTGTGTATTCAACTCACAGAGTTGAACCTTCCTTTAGACAGAGCAGATTGGAAACACTCTTTTTGTGGAATTTGCAAGTGGAGAATTCTAGCGCTTTGACGCCAATGGTAGAAAGGAAATATCTTCGTATAAAAACTAGACAGTATCATTCTCAGAAGCTACTTTGTGATGTGTGCGTTCAACTCACAGAGTTTAACCTTTCTTTTCATAGAGCAGTTTGGAAACCCTCTGTTTGTGAAGTCTGCAAGTGGATATTTAAACGTCTTTGAGGCCTTCGTTGGAAACGGGATTTTTTCACATAAACCAGGACAGAAGAATTCTCAGAAACTTCTTGTTTGTTATGTGTGCATTCAACTCACAGAGTTGAACCTTACTTTGGAAAGAGCAGTTTTCTAACACTCTTTTTGTAAAATTTCCAAGTGCATACTTTGATTGCTTTGAAGCCTTTGGTAGACAATGAAATATCTGCATGTAAAAACTAGAAAGAATCATTCGCAGAAACCACGTTGTGATCTGTGCATTCAACTCACAGAGTTCAACCATTCTTTCTATAGAGCAGTTATGAAACACTCTCTTTGTAGAATTTGCAAGGGTGTATTTAGAGGGCATTGAAGCCTACGGTAGAAAAGGAAATATCTTACCATAAAAACTAGACAGAAGCATTCTCAGCAACTGAGTTGTGATGTTTGCATTCAACTCACAGAGTTCAACATTCCTTTTAATGGAGCGGTTTTGAAACACTCTTTTTGCAGAATCTGCAAGTGGATATTTGGACCTCTTTGAGGTCTTCGTTGGAAACGGGATTTCTTCATGTAATGCCAGACAGAAGAATTCTCAGTGAATTCTTTCTGTGTGTGTGTATTCAACTCACAGAGTTGAACGTTCCTTTAGACAGAGTAGATTGGAAACACTCTTTTTGTGGAATTTTCAGGTGGAGGTATCAAGCGCTTTGAGGCCAATGATAGAAAAGGAAATACCTTCGTATAATAATTAGACGGAATCATTCTCAGAAACCGCTTTGCAATGTGTGCGTTCAACTCACAGTGTTTAACCTTTCTTTTCATACAGTTGTTTCGAAACACTCTTTTTGCAGAATCTGCAAGTGGATATTTGGACCTCTTTGAAGTCTTCGTTGGAAATGGGATTTCTTCATATAATGCTAGACAGAAGACTTCTCAGTAACTGCTTTTTCTGGTGTGTATTCAACTCTCAGAGTTGAACTTTCCTTTAGGAACAGCAGATTTGAAACTCTCTTTTTGTGGAATTTGCAAGTGGAGATTTCAAAGCTTTGAGGCCAGTGGTAGAAAAGGAAATATCTTTGTATGCAAACTAGACAGAATCATTCTCAGAAACTACTTTGGTACGTGTGTGTTCAACTCACAGTGTTTAACCTTTCTTTTCATAGAGCAGTTTGGAAACACTCAGTTTGTAAAGTCAGCAACTGGATATGTGGATGTATTTGAGGCCTTCGTTGGAAACGGGATTTCTTCCTATAATGCGAGACAGAAGAATTCTCAGTAACTTCTTTGTGTTGTGGGTATTCAACTCACAGAGTTGAAGCTTCCTTTAGGCGGAGCAGATTGGAAACACTTTTTGTGGAATTTTCAGGGGGAGACTTCAAGCGCTTTGAGGCCAACGGTAGAAAAGGAAATATCTTCGTATAAAAACTAGACGGAGTCATTCTCAGAAACTACTTTGTGATGTTTGCGTTCAACTCACAGAGTTTAACGTTTCTTTTCGTAGAGCAGTTTGGAGACACTCTTTTTGCAGAATCTGCAAGTGGATATTTGGACCTCTTTGTGGCCTTCGTTGGAAACGGGATTTTTCATATAATGCTAGACAGAAGAATTCTCAGTAACTTCTTTTTGTGGTGTGTATTCAACTCACAGAGTTGAACCTTCCTTTAGACAGAGCAGATTTGAAACTCTCTTTTTGTGGAATTTGCAAGTGGAGATTTCAAGCGCTTTGAGGCCAACGGTAGAAAAGGAAATATCTTCGTAGAAAAAATAGACGGAATCATTCTCAGAAACTGCTTTGGGATGTGTGCATTGAACTCACAGTGTTTAACACTTCTTTTCATAGAGCACTTTGGAAACACTCAGTTTGAAATGTCTGCAGCTGGATATTTGGACCTCTTTGAGGCCTTCGTAGTAAACGGGATTTCTTCGTGTAATGATAGACAATAGAATTCTCAGTGAATTTTTTTCTGTGTGTGTGTATTCAACTCACAGGGTTGAACCTTCCTTCAGACAGTGCAGATTTGAAACACTTTTCTGTGGAATTTGCAAGGGGAGATTTCAAGCACTTTGAGGCCATTGGTGGAAAAGGAAATATCTTCG
The DNA here is from genome assembly GCF_000001405.40 of Homo sapiens. Taxonomy (NCBI): domain Eukaryota; kingdom Metazoa; phylum Chordata; class Mammalia; order Primates; family Hominidae; genus Homo; species Homo sapiens. Next base: position 91,578,241 of record NC_000003.12, read on the forward strand.
TATAAAAACTAGACAGAATCATTCTCAGGAACTACTTTGTGATATGTGCATTCAACTCCCAGAGTTTAACCTTTCTTTTCATAGATGAGTTTGGAAACAGTCAGTTTGTAAATTCTGCAACTGGATATTTGGACCTCTTTGAGGCTTTCGTTGGAAACGGGATTTACTTCACATAATGCTAGACAGAAGAATTCTCAGTAACTTCTTTTGGGATGTATGTATTCAACTCAGAGAGTTGAACCTTCCTTTAGACATATAGATTGAAAGCACGCTTTTTGCGGAATTTTCAGGTGGAGATTTCAAGAGCCTTGAGGCCAATGGTAGAAAAGGCTATCTTCGTATAAAAACTAGACGGAATCATTCTCAGAAACTGCTTTGTGATGTGTGTATTAAACTCACAGAGTTGAACATTTCCTTGCCTAGAGCAGTTTGGAAAGACTTAGTTTGTGCAGTGTGCAAGTGGATATTTGGGACTCTTTGAGGCCTTCGTTGGAAACGGGATTTCTTCTTATAATTCTTGACAAAAGAATTCTCAGTAGCTTCTTTGTGTGTGTGTATTCAACTCACAGAGTTGAACCTTCCTTGAGACAGAGCAGATTGGAAACACTCTTTTTGTGGAATTTGCAAGTGGAGAATTCTAGCGCTTTGACGCCAATGGTAGAAAGGAAATATCTTCGTATAAAAACTAGACAGTATCATTCTCAGAAGCTACTTTGTGATGTGTGCGTTCAACTCACAGAGTTTAACCTTTCTTTTCATAGAGCAGTTTGGAAACACTCTGTTTGTGAAGTCTGCAAGTGGATATTTAAACGTCTTTGAGGCCTTCGTTGGAAACGGGATTTTTTCATATAAACCAGGACAGAAGAATTCTCAGAAACTTCTTGTTTGTTATGTGTGCATTCAACTCACAGAGTTGAACCTTACTTTGGAAAGAGCAGTTTTCTAACACTCTTTTTGTAAAAGTTCCAAGTGAATACTTTGAGTGCTTTGAAGCCTACGGTTGACAACGAAATATCTTCATGTAAAAACTGCGAAGAATCATTCGCCGAAACCACGTTGTGATCTCTGCATTCAACACACAGAGTTCAACCTTTCTTCCTATAGAGCAGTTATTAAACAGTCTCTTTGTAGAATTTGCAAGGGTGTATTTAGAGGTTATTGAAGCCTAAGGTAGAAAAGGAAATATCTGACCATAAAATCTAGTCAGAAGCATTCTCAGCAACTGAGTTGTGATGTTTCCATTCAACTCACAGAGTTCAACATTCCTTTTAATGGAGCGGTTTTGAAACACTCTTTTTGCAGAATCTGCAAGTGGATATTTGGACCTCTTTGAGGCCTTCGTTGGAAACGGGATTTCTTCATGTAATGCCAGACAGAAGAATTCTCAGTGAATTCTTTCTGTGTGTGTGTATTCAACTCACAGAGTTGAACGTTCCTTTAGACAGAGTAGATTGGAAACACTCTTTTTGTGGAATTTTCAGGTGGAGGTATCAAGCGCTTTGAGGCCAATGATAGAAAAGGAAATACCTTCGTATAATAATTAGACGGAATCATTCTCAGAAACCGCTTTGCAATGTGTGCGTTCAACTCACAGTGTTTAACCTTTCTTTTCATACAGTTGTTTCGAAACACTCTTTTTGCAGAATCTGCAAGTGGATATTTGGACCTCTTTGAAGTCTTCGTTGGAAATGGGATTTCTTCATATAATGCTAGACAGAAGACTTCTCAGTAACTGCTTTTTCTGGTGTGTATTCAACTCTCAGAGTTGAACTTTCCTTTAGAAACAGCAGATTTGAAACTCTCTTTTTGTGGAATTTGCAAGTGGAGATTTCAGAGCTTTGAGGCCAATGGTAGAAAAGGAAATATCTTCGTATGCAAACTAGACAGAATCATTCTCAGAAACTACTTTGGTACGTGTGTGTTCAACTCACAGTGTTTAACCTTTCTTTTCATAGAGCAGTTTGGAAACACTCAGTTTGTAAAGTCAGCAACTGGATATTTGGATGTATTTGAGGCCTTCGTTGGAAACGGGATTTCTTCATATAATGCTAGACAGAAGAATTCTCAGTAACTTCTTTGGGTTGTGGGTATTCAAGTCACAGAGTTGAAGCTTCCTTTAGGCGGAGCAGATTGGAAACACTTTTTGTGGAATTTTCAGGGGGAGACTTCAAGCGCTTTGAAGTGAATGGTAGGAAAGGAAATATCTTCGTATAAAAACTAGACGGAGTCATTCTCAGAAACTACTTTGTGATGTTTGCGTTCAACTCACAGAGTTTAACGTTTCTTTTCATAGAGCAGTTTGGAAACACTCTTTTTGCAGAATCTGCAAGTGGATATTTGGACCTCTTTGAGGCCTTCGTTGGAAACGGGATTTTTCATATAATGCTAGACAGAAGAATTCTCAGTAACTTCTTTTTGTGGTGTGTATTCAACTCACAGAGTTGAACCTTCCTTTAGACAGAGCAGATTTGAAACTCTCTTTTTGTGGAATTTGCAAGTGGAGATTTCAAGCGCTTTGAGGCCAACGGCAGAAAAGGAAATATCTTCGTAGAAAAAATAGACGGAATCATTCTCAGAAACTGCTTTGGGATGTGTGCATTGAACTCACAGTGTTTAACACTTCTTTTCATAGAGCACTTTGGAAACACTCAGGTTGTAATGTCTGCAGCTGGATATTTGGACCTCTTTGAGGCCTTCGTAGTAAACGGGATTTCTTCGTGTAATGATAGACAATAGAATTCTCAGTGAATTTTTTTCTGTGTGTGTGTATTCAACTCACAGGGTTGAACCTTCCTTTAGACAGTGCAGATTTGAGACACTTGTCTGTGGAATTTGCAAGGGGAGATTTCAAGCACTTTGAGGCCATTGGTGGAAAAGGAAATATCTTCGTATAAAAACTAGACAGAATCATTCTCAGGAACTACTTTGTGATATGTGCATTCAACTCACAGAGTTTAACCTTTCTTTTCATAGATGAGTTTGGAAACAGTCAGTTTGTAAATGCTGCAACTGGATATTTGGGCCTCTTTGAGGCTTTCGTTGGAAACGGGATTTCTTCACATAATGCTAGACAGAAGAATTCTCAGTAACTTCTTTTGGGATGTATGTATTCAAATCAGAGAGTTGAACCTTCCTTTAGACAGAGCGGATTGGAAACACTCTTTTTGTGGAATTTGCAAGTGGAAAATTCTAGCAGTATGAGGCCAATGGTACAAAAGGAAATATCTTCGTATAAAAACTAGACAGTATCATTCTCAGAAACTGCTTTGTGATGTGTGTATTAAACTCACAGAGTTGAACATTTCTTTGCATAGAGCAGTATGGAAAGACTTAGTTTGTGCAGTGTGCAAGTGGATATTTGGAACTCTTTGAGGCCTTGGTTGGAAACGGGATTTCTTCTTATAATTCTTGACAAAAGGATTCTCAGTAGCTTCTTTGTGTGTGTGTACTCAACTCACAGAGTTGAACCTTCCTTTAGACAGAGCAGATTGGAAACACTCTTTTTGTGGAATTTGCAAGTGGAAAATTCTAGCAGTATGAGGCCAATGGTACAAAAGGAAATATCTTCGTATAAAAACTAGACAGTATCATTGTCAGAAACTACTTTGTGAGGTGTGCGTTCAACTCACAGTGTTTACCCTTTCTTTTCATAGAGCAGTTTGGAAACACTCTGTTTGTGAAGTCTGCAAGTGGATATTTAAACGTCTTTGAGGCCTTCGTTGGAAACGGGATTTCTTCATATAAACCAGGACAGAAGAATTCTCAGAAACTTCTTGTTTGTTATGTGTGCATTCAACTCACAGAGTTGAACCTTACTTTGGAAAGAGCAGTTTTCTAACACTCTTTTTGTAAAAGTTCCAAGTGAATACTTTGAGTGCTTTGAAGCCTACGGTAGACAACGAAATATCTTCATGTAAAAACTACAAAGAATCATTCGCAGAAACCACGTTGTGATCTCTGCATTCAACTCACAGAGTTGAACCTTTCCTCCTATAGAGCAGTTATGAAACAGTCTCTTTGTAGAATTTGCAAGGGTGTATTTACAGGGCATTGAAGCCTACGGTAGAAAAGGAAATATCTTACCATAAAATCTAGTCAGAAGCATTCTCAGAAACTGAGTTGTGATGTTTGCATTCAACTCACAGAGTTCAACATTCCTTTTAATGGAGCGGTTTTGAAACACTCTTTTTGCAGAATCTGCAAGTGGATATTTGGACCTCTTTGAGGCCTTCGTTGGAAACGGGATTTCTTCATGTAATGCCAGACAGAAGAATTCTCAGTGAATTCTTTCTGTGTGTGTGTATTCAACTCACAGAGTTGAACGTTCCTTTAGACAGAGTAGATTGGAAACACTCTTTTTGTGGAATTTTCAGGTGGAGGTATCAAGCGCTTTGAGGCCAATGATAGAAAAGGAAATACCTTCGTATAATAATTAGACGGAATCATTCTCAGAAACTGCTTTGCAATGTGTGCGTTCAACTCACAGTGTTTAACCTTTCTTTTCATACAGTTGTTTCGAAACACTCTTTTTGCAGAATCTGCAAGTGGATATTTGGACCTCTTTGAAGTCTTCGTTGGAAATGGGATTTCTTCATATAATGCTAGACAGAAGACTTCTCAGTAACTGCTTTTTCTGGTGTGTATTCAACTCTCAGAGTTGAACTTTCCTTTAGAAACAGCAGATTTGAAACTCTCTTTTTGTGGAATTTGCAAGTGGAGATTTCAGAGCTTTGAGGCCAATGGTAGAAAAGGAAATATCTTCGTATGCAAACTAGACAGAATCATTCTCAGAAACTACTTTGGTACGTGTGTGTTCAACTCACAGTGTTTAACCTTTCTTTTCATAGAGCAGTTTGGAAACACTCAGTTTGTAAAGTCAGCAAATGGATATTTGGATGTATTTGAGGCCTTCGTTGGAAACGGGATTTCTTCATATAATGCTAGACAGAAGAATTCTCAGTAACTTCTTTGGGTTGTGGGTATTCAACTCACAGAGTTGAAGCTTCCTTTAGGCGGAGCAGATTGGAAACACTTTTTGTGGAATTTTCAGGGGGAGACTTCAAGCGCTTTGAAGTGAATGTTAGGAAAGGTAATATTCTTCGTATAAAAACTAGACGGAGTCATTCTCAGAAACTACTTTGTGATGTTTGCGTTCAACTCACAGAGTTTAACGTTTCTTTTCATAGAGCAGTTTGGAAACACTCATTTTGCAGAATCTGCAAGTGGATATTTGGACCTCTTTGTGGCCTTCGTTGGAAACGGGATTTTTCATATAATGCTAGACAGAAGAATTCTCAGTAACTTCTTTTTGTGGTGTGTATTCAACTCACAGATTTGAACCTTCCTTTAGACAGAGCAGATTTGAAACTCTCTTTTTGTGGAATTTGCAAGTGGAGATTTCAAGCGCTTTGAGGCCAACGGCAGAAAAGGAAATATCTTCGTAGAAAAAATAGACGGAATCATTCTCAGAAACTGCTTTGGGATGTGTGCATTGAACTCACAGTGTTTAACACTTCTTTTCATAGAGCACTTTGGAAACACTCAGTTTGTAATGTCTGCAGCTGGATATTTGGACCTCTTTGAGGCCTTCGTAGTAAACGGGATTTCTTCGTGTAATGATAGACAATAGAATTCTCAGTGAATTTTTTTCTGTGTGTGTGTATTCAACTCACAGGGTTGAACCTTCCTTTAGACAGTGCAGATTTGAAACACTTGTCTGTGGAATTTGCAAGGGGAGATTTCAAGCACTTTGAGGCCATTGGTGGAAAAGGAAATATCTTCGTATAAAAACTAGACAGAATCATTCTCAGGAACTACTTTGTGATATGTGCATTCAACTCACAGAGTTTAACCTTTCTTTTCATAGATGAGTTTGGAAACAGTCAGTTTGTAAATTCTGCAACTGGATATTTGGACCTCTTTGAGGCTTTCGTTGGAAACGGGATTTCTTCACATAATGCTAGACAGAAGAATTCTCAGTAACTTCTTTTGGGATGTATGTATTCAAATCAGAGATTTGAACCTTCCTTTAGACAGAGCGGATTGGAAACACTCTTTTTGTGGAATTTGCAAGTGGAAAATTCTAGCAGTATGAGGCCAATGGTACAAAAGGAAATATCTTCGTATAAAAACTAGACAGTCATCATTCTCAGAAACTGCTTTGTGATGTGTGTATTAAACTCACGGAGTTGAACATTTCTTTGCATAGAGCAGTTTGGAAAGACTTAGTTTGTGCAGTGTGCAAGTGGATATTTGGAACTCTTTGAGGCCTTCGTTGGAAACGGGATTTCTTCTTATAATTCTTGACAAAAGAATTCTCAGTAGCTTCTTTGTGTGTGTGTATTCAACTCACAGAGTTGAACCTTCCTTTAGACAGAGCAGATTGGAAACACTCTTTTTGTGGAATTTGCAAGTGGAGAATTCTAGCGCTTTGACGCCAATGGTAGAAAGGAAATATCTTCGTATAAAAACTAGACAGTATCATTCTCAGAAACTACTTTGTGATGTGTGCGTTCAACTCACAGTGTTTACCCTTTCTGTTCATAGAGCAGTTTGGAAACACTCTGTTTGTGAAGTCTGCAAGTGGATATTTAAACGTCTTTGAGGCCTTCGTTGGAAACGGGATTTCTTCATATAAACCAGGACAGAAGAATTCTCAGAAACTTCTTGATTGTTATGTGTGCATTCAACTCACAGAGTTGAACCTTACTTTGGAAAGAGCAGTTTTCTAACACTCTTTTTGTAAAAGTTCCAAGTGAATACTTTGAGTGCTTTGAAGCCTACGGTTGACAACGAAATATCTTCATGTAAAAACTACAAAGAATCATTCGCAGAAACCACGTTGTGATCTCTGCATTCAACTCACAGAGTTCAACCTTTCTTCCTATAGAGCAGTTATGAAACAGTCTCTTTGTAGAATTTGCAAGGGTGTATTTAGAGGGCATTGAAGCCTACGGTAGAAAAGGAAATATCTTACCATAAAATCTAGTCAGAAGCATTCTCAGAAACTGAGTTGTGATGTTTGCATTCAACTCACAGAGTTCAACATTCCTTTTAATGGAGCGGTTTTGAAACACTCTTTTTGCAGAATCTGCAAGTGGATATTTGGACCTCTTTGAGGCCTTCGTTGGAAACGGGATTTCTTCATGTAATGCCAGACAGAAGAATTCTCAGTGAATTCTTTCTGTGTGTGTGTATTCAACTCACAGAGTTGAACGTTCCTTTAGACAGAGTAGATTGGAAACACTCTTTTTGTGGAATTTTCAGGTGGAGGTATCAAGCGCTTTGAGGCCAATGATAGAAAAGGAAATACCTTCGTATAATAATTAGACGGAATCATTCTCAGAAACCGCTTTGCAATGTGTGCGTTCAACTCACAGTGTTTAACCTTTCTTTTCATACAGTTGTTTCGAAACACTCTTTTTGCAGAATCTGCAAGTGGATATTTGGACCTCTTTGAAGTCTTCGTTGGAAATGGGATTTCTTCATATAATGCTAGACAGAAGACTTCTCAGTAACTGCTTTTTCTGGTGTGTATTCAACTCTCAGAGTTGAACTTTCCTTTAGAAACAGCAGATTTGAAACTCTCTTTTTGTGGAATTTGCAAGTGGAGATTTCAGAGCTTTGAGGCCAATGGTAGAAAAGGAAATATCTTCGTATGCAAACTAGACAGAATCATTCTCAGAAACTACTTTGGTACGTGTGTGTTCAACTCACAGTGTTTAACCTTTCTTTTCATAGAGCAGTTTGGAAACACTCAGTTTGTAAAGTCAGCAACTGGATATTTGGATGTATTTGAGGCCTTCGTTGGAAACGGGATTTCTTCATATAATGCTAGACAGAAGAATTCTCAGTAACTTCTTTGGGTTATGGGTATTCAAGTCACAGAGTTGAAGCTTCCTTTAGGCGGAACAGATTGGAAACACTTTTTGTGGAATTTTCAGGGGGAGACGTCAAGCGCTTTGAAGTGAATGGTAGGAAAGGAAATATCTTCGTATAAAAACTAGACGGAGTCATTCTCAGAAACTACTTTGTGATGTTTGCGTTCAACTCACAGAGTTTAACGTTTCTTTTCATAGAGCAGTTTGGAAACACTCTTTTTGCAGAATCTGCAAGTGGATATTTGGACCTCTTTGTGGCCTTCGTTGGAAACGGGATTTTTCATATAATGCTAGACAGAAGAATTCTCAGTAACTTCTTTTTGTGGTGTGTATTCAACTCACAGAGTTGAACCTTCCTTTAGACAGAGCAGATTTGAAACTCTCTTTTTGTGGAATTTGCAAGTGGAGATTTCAAGCGCTTTGAGGCCAACGGCAGAAAAGGAAATATCTTCGTAGAAAAAATAGACGGAATCATTCTCAGAAACTGCTTTGGGATGTGTGCATTGAACTCACAGTGTTTAACACTTCTTTTCATAGAGCACTTTGGAAACACTCAGTTTGTAATGTCTGCAGCTGGATATTTGGACCTCCTTGAGGCCTTCGTAGTAAACGGGATTTCTTCGTGTAATGATAGACAATAGAATTCTCAGTGAATTTTTTTCTGTGTGTGTGTATTCAACTCACAGGGTTGAACCTTCCTTTAGACAGTGCAGATTTGAAACACTTGTCTGTGGAATTTGCAAGGGGAGATTTCAAGCACTTTGAGGCCATTGGTGGAAAAGGAAATATCTTCGTATAAAAACTAGACAGAATCATTCTCAGGAACTACTTTGTGATATGTGCATTCAACTCACAGAGTTTAACCTTTCTTTTCATAGATGAGTTTGGAAACAGTCAGTTTGTAAATTCTGCAACTGGATATTTGGACCTCTTTGAGGCTTTCGTTGGAAACGGGATTTCTTCACATAATGCTAGACAGAAGAATTCTCAGTAACTTCTTATGGGTTGTGTGTATTTAACTCAGAGAGTTGAACCTTCCTTTAGACAGAGCAGATTGGAAACACGCTTTTTGCAGAATTTTCAGGTGGAGATTTCAAGAGCCTTGAGGTCAATGGTAGAAACGGCTATCTTCGTATAAAAACTAGATGGAATCATTCTCAGAAACTGCTTTGTGATGTGTGCATTAAACTCACAGAGTTGAACATTTCTTTGCCTAGAGCAGTTTGGAAAGACTTAGTTTGTACAGTGTGCAAGTGGATATTTGGAACTCTTTGAGGCCTTCGTTGGAAACGGGATTTCTTCTTATAATTCTTGACAAAAGAATTCTCAGTAGCTTCTTTGTGTGTGTGTGTCTTCAACTCACAGAGTTGAACCTTCCTTTAGACAGAGCAGATTGGAAACACTCTTTTTGTGGAATTTGCAAGTGGAGAATTCTAGCGATTTGAGGCCAGGGGTACAAAAGGAAATATCTTCGTATAAAAACTAGACAGTATCATTCTCAGAAACTACTTTGTGATGTGTGCGTTCAACTCACAGTGTTTACCCTTTCTTTTCATAGAGCAGTTTGGAAACACTCTGTTTGTGTAGTCTGCAAGTGGATATTTAAACGTCTTTGAGGCCTTCGTTGGAAACGGGATTTCTTCATATAAACCAGGACAGAAGAATTCTCAGAAACTTCTTGATTGTTATGTGTGCATTCAACTCACAGAGTTGAACCTTACTTTGGAAAGAGCAGTTTTCTAACACTCTTTTTGTAAAAGTTCCAAGTGAATACTTTGAGTGCTTTGAAGCCTACGGTTGACAACGAAATATCTTCATGTAAAAACTACAAAGAATCATTCGCAGAAACCACGTTGTGATCTCTGCAGTCAACTCACAGAGTTCAACCTTTCTTCCTATAGAGCAGTTATGAAACAGTCTCTTTGTAGAATTTGCAAGGGTGTATTTAGAGGGCATTGAAGCCTACGGTAGAAAAGGAAATATCTTACCATAAAATCTAGTCAGAAGCATTCTCAGAAACTGAGTTGTGATGTTTGCATTCAACTCACAGAGTTCAACATTCCTTTTAATGGAGCGGTTTTGAAACACTCTTTTTGCAGAATCTGCAAGTGGATATTTGGACCTCTTTGAGGCCTTCGTTGGAAACGGGATTTCTTCATGTAATGCCAGACAGAAGAATTCTCAGTGAATTCTTTCTGTGTGTGTGTATTCAACTCACAGAGTTGAACGTTCCTTTAGACAGAGTAGATTGGAAACACTCTTTTTGTGGAATTTTCAGGTGGAGGTATCAAGCGCTTTGAGGCCAATGATAGAAAAGGAAATACCTTCGTATAATAATTAGACGGAATCATTCTCAGAAACCGCTTTGCAATGTGTGCGTTCAACTCACAGTGTTTAACCTTTCTTTTCATACAGTTGTTTCGAAACACTCTTTTTGCAGAATCTGCAAGTGGATATTTGGACCTCTTTGAAGTCTTCGTTGGAAATGGGATTTCTTCATATAATGCTAGACAGAAGACTTCTCAGTAACTGCTTTTTCTGGTGTGTATTCAACTCTCAGAGTTGAACTTTCCTTTAGAAACAGCAGATTTGAAACTCTCTTTTTGTGGAATTTGCAAGTGGAGATTTCAGAGCTTTGAGGCCAATGGTAGAAAAGGAAATATCTTCGTATGCAAACTAGACAGAATCATTCTCAGAAACTACTTTGGTACGTGTGTGTTCAACTCACAGTGTTTAACCTTTCTTTTCATAGAGCAGTTTGGAAACACTCAGTTTGTAAAGTCAGCAACTGGATATTTGGATGTATTTGAGGCCTTCGTTGGAAACGGGGATTTCTTCATATAATGCTAGACAGAGATTCTCAGTAACTTCTTTGGGTTGTGGGTATTCAAGTCACAGAGTTGAAGCTTCCTTTAGGCGGAGCAGATTGGAAACACTTTTTGTGGAATTTTCAGGGGGAGACTTCAAGCGCTTTGAAGTGAATGGTAGGAAAGGAAATATCTTCGTATAAAAACTAGACGGAGTCATTCTCAGAAACTACTTTGTGATGTTTGCGTTCAACTCACAGAGTTTAACGTTTCTTTTCATAGAGCAGTTTGGAAACACTCTTTTTGCAGAATCTGCAAGTGGATATTTGGACCTCTTTGTGGCCTTCGTTGGAAACGGGATTTTTCATATAATGCTAGACAGAAGAATTCTCAGTAACTTCTTTTTGTGGTGTGTATTCAACTCACAGAGTTGAACCTTCCTTTAGACAGAGCAGATTTGAAACTCTCTTTTTGTGGAATTTGCAAGTGGAGATTTCAAGCGCTTTGAGGCCAACGGCAGAAAAGGAAATATCTTCGTAGAAAAAATAGACGGAATCATTCTCAGAAACTGCTTTGGGATGTGTGCATTGAACTCACAGTGTTTAACACTTCTTTTCATAGAGCACTTTGGAAACACTCAGTTTGTAATGTCTGCAGCTGGATATTTGGACCTCTTTGAGGCCTTCGTAGTAAACGGGATTTCTTCGTGTAATGATAGACAATAGAATTCTCAGTGAATATTTTTCTGTGTGTGTGTATTCAACTCACAGGGTTGAACCTTCCTTTAGACAGTGGAGATTTGAAACACTTTTCTGTGGAATTTGCAAGGGGAGATTTCAAGCACTTTGAGGCCATTGGTGGAAAAGGAAATATCTTCGAATAAAAACTAGACAGAATCATTCTCAGGAACTACTTTGTGATATGTGCATTCAACTCACAGAGTTTAACCTTTCTTTTCACAGATGAGTTTGGAAACAGTCAGTTTGTAAATTCTGCAACTGGATATTTGGACCTCTTGGAGGCTTTCGTTGGAAACGGGATTTCTTCACATAATGCTAGACAGAAGAATTCTCAGTAACTTCTTTTGGGATGTATGTATTCAAATCAGAGAGTTGAACCTTCCTTTAGACAGAGCGGATTGGAAACACTCTTTTTGTGGAATTTGCAAGTGGAAAATTCTAGCAGTATGAGGCCAATGGTACAAAAGGAAATATCTTCGTATAAAAACTAGACAGTATCATTCTCAGAAACTGCTTTCTGATGTGTGCATTAAACTCACAGGGTTGAACATTTCTTTGCATAGAGCAGTTTGGAAAGACTTAGTTTGTACAGTCTGCAAGTGGATATTAGGAACTCTTTGAGGCCTTCGTTGGAAACGGGATTTCTTCTTATAATTCTTGACAAAAGAATTCTCAGTGAATTCTTTACTGTGTGTGTGTATTCAACTCACAGAGTTGAACGTTCCTTTAGACAGAGTAGATTGGAAACACTCTTTTTGTGGAATTTTCAGGTGGAGGTATCAAGCGCTTTGAGGCCAATGATAGAAAAGGAAATACCTTCGTATAATAATTAGACGGAATCATTCTCAGAAACTGCTTTGCAATGTGTGCGTTGAACTCACAGAGTTTAACTTTCTTTTCATACAGTTGTTTCGAAACACTCTTTTTGCAGAATCTTCAAGTGGATATTTTTTTGGACTTCTTTGAAGTCTTTGTTGGAAAAAGGATTTCTTCATATAATGCTGGACAGAGTACTTCTCAGTAACTGCTTTTTCTGGTGTGTATTCAACTCTCCGAGTTGAACTTTCCTTTAGAAACAGCAGATTTGAAACTCTCTTTTTGTGGAATTTGCAAGTGGAGATTTCAAAGCTTTGAGGCCAATGGTAGAAAAGGAAATATCTTCGTATGCAAACTAGACAGAATCATTCTCAGAAACTACTTTGGTACGTGTGTGTTCAACTCACAGTGTTTAACCTTTCTTTTCATAGAGCAGTTTGGAAACACTCAGTTTGTAAAGTCAGCAACTGGATATTTGGATGTATTTGAGGCCTTCGTTGGAAACGGGATTTCTTCATATAATGCTAGACAGAAGAATTCTCAGTAACTTCTTTGGGTTGTGGGTATTCAAGTCACAGAGTTGAAGCTTCCTTTAGGCGGAGCAGATTGGAAACACTTTTTGTGGAATTTTCAGGGGGAGACTTCAAGCGCTTTGAAGTGAATGGTAGGAAAGGAAATATCTTCGTATAAAAACTAGACGGAGTCATTCTCAGAAACTACTTTGTGATGTTTGCGTTCAACTCACAGAGTTTAACGTTTCTTTTCATAGAGCAGTTTGGAAACACTCTTTTTGCAGAATCTGCAAGTGGATATTTGGACCTCTTTGTGGCCTTCGTTGGAAACGGGATTTTTCATATAATGCTAGACAGAAGAATTCTCAGTAACTTCTTTTTGTGGTGTGTATTCAACTCACAGAGTTGAACCTTCCTTTAGACAGAGCAGATTTGAAACTCTCTTTTTGTGGAATTTGCAAGTGGAGATTTCAAGCGCTTTGAGGCCAACGGCAGAAAAGGAAATATCTTCGTAGAAAAAATAGACGGAATCATTCTCAGAAACTGCTTTGGGATGTGTGCATTGAACTCACAGTGTTTAACACTTCTTTTCATAGAGCACTTTGGAAACACTCAGGTTGTAATGTCTGCAGCTGGATATTTGGACCTCTTTGAGGCCTTCGTAGTAAACGGGATTTCTTCGTGTAATGATAGACAATAGAATTCTCAGTGAATTTTTTTCTGTGTGTGTGTATTCAACTCACAGGGTTGAACCTTCCTTTAGACAGTGCAGATTTGAGACACTTGTCTGTGGAATTTGCAAGGGGAGATTTCAAGCACTTTGAGGCCATTGGTGGAAAAGGAAATATCTTCGTATGAAAACTAGACAGAATCATTCTCAGGAACTACTTTGTGATATGTGCATTCAACTCCCAGAGTTTAACCTTTCTTTTCATAGATGAGTTTGGAAACAGTCAGTTTGTAAATTCTGCAACTGGATATTTGGACCTCTTTGAGGCTTTCGTTGGAAACGGGATTTCTTCACATAATGCTAGACAGAAGAATTCTCAGTAACTTCTTTTGGGATGTATGTATTCAAATCAGAGAGTTGAACCTTCCTTTAGACAGAGCGGATTGGAAACACTCTTTTTGTGGAATTTGCAAGTGGAAAATTCTAGCAGTATGAGGCCAATGGTACAAAAGGAAATATCTTCGTATAAAAACTAGACAGTATCATTCTCAGAAACTGCTTTGTGATGTGTGTATTAAACTCACAGAGTTGAACATTTCTTTGCATAGAGCAGTTTGGAAAGACTTAGTTTGTGCAGTGTGCAAGTGGATATTTGGAACTCTTTGAGGCCTTCGTTGGAAACGGGATTTCTTCTTATAATTTCTTGAAAAAAGAATTCTCAGTACCTTCTTTGTGTGTGTGTATTCAACTCACAGAGTTGAACCTTCCTTTAGACAGAGCAGATTGGAAACACTCTTTTTGTGGAATTTGCAAGTGGAGAATTCTAGCGCTTTGACGCCAATGGTAGAAAGGAAATATCTTCGTATAAAAACTAGACAGTATCATTCTCAGAAGCTACTTTGTGATGTGTGCGTTCAACTCACAGAGTTTAACCTTTCTTTTCATAGAGCAGTTTGGAAACCCTCTGTTTGTGAAGTCTGCAAGTGGATATTTAAACATCTTTGAGGCCTTCGTTGGAAACGGGATTTTTTCATATAAACCAGGACAGAAGAATTCTCAGAAACTTCTTGATTGTTATGTGTGCATTCAACTCACAGAGTTGAACCTTACTTTGGAAAGAGCAGTTTTCTAACACTCTTTTTGTAAAAGTTCCAAGTGAATACTTTGAGTGCTTTGAAGCCTACGGTTGACAACGAAATATCTTCATGTAAAAACTACAAAGAATCATTCGCAGAAACCACGTTGTGATCTCTGCAGTCAACTCACAGAGTTCAACCTTTCTTCCTATAGAGCAGTTATGAAACAGTCTCTTTGTAGAATTTGCAAGGGTGTATTTAGAGGGCATTGAAGCCTACGGTAGAAAAGGAAATATCTTACCATAAAATCTAGTCAGAAGCATTCTCAGAAACTGAGTTGTGATGTTTGCATTCAACTCACAGAGTTCAACATTCCTTTTAATGGAGCGGTTTTGAAACACTCTTTTTGCAGAATCTGCAAGTGGATATTTGGACCTCTTTGAGGCCTTCGTTGGAAACGGGATTTCTTCATGTAATGCCAGACAGAAGAATTCTCAGTGAATTCTTTCTGTGTGTGTGTATTCAACTCACGGAGTTGAACGTTCCTTTAGACAGAGTAGATTGGAAACACTCTTTTTGTGGAATTTTCAGGTGGAGGTATCAAGCGCTTTGAGGCCAATGATAGAAAAGGAAATACCTTCGTATAATAATTAGACGGAATCATTCTCAGAAACTGCTTTGCAATGTGTGCGTTCAACTCACAGTGTTTAACCTTTCTTTTCATACAGTTGTTTCGAAACACTCTTTTTGCAGAATCTGCAAGTGGATATTTGGACCTCTTTGAAGTCTTCGTTGGAAATGGGATTTCTTCATATAATGCTAGACAGAAGACTTCTCAGTAACTGCTTTTTCTGGTGTGTATTCAACTCTCAGAGTTGAACTTTCCTTTAGAAACAGGAGAGTTGAAACTCTCTTTTTGTGGAATTTGCAAGTGGAGATTTCAAAGCTTTGAGGCCAATGGTAGAAAAGGAAATATCTTCGTATGCAAACTAGACAGAATCATTCTCAGAAACTACTTTGGTACGTGTGTGTTCAACTCACAGTGTTTAACCTTTCTTTTCATAGAGCAGTTTGGAAACACTCAGTTTGTAAAGTCAGCAACTGGATATTTGGATGTATTTGAGGCCTTCGTTGGAAACGGGATTTCTTCATATAGTGCTAGACAGAAGAATTCTCAGTAACTTCTTTGGGTTGTGGGTATTCAAGTCACAGAGTTGAAGCTTCCTTTAGGCGGAGCAGATTGGAAACACTTTTTGTGGAATTTTCAGGGGGAGACTTCAAGCGCTTTGAAGTGAATGGTAGGAAAGGAAATATCTTCGTATAAAAACTAGACGGAGTCATTCTCAGAAACTACTTTGTGATGTTTGCGTTCAACTCACAGAGTTTAACGTTTCTTTTCATAGAGCAGTTTGGAAACACTCTTTTTGCAGAATCTGCAAGTGGATATTTGGACCTCTTTGTGGCCTTCGTTGGAAACGGGATTTTTCATATAATGCTAGACAGAAGAATTCTCAGTAACTTCTTTTTGTGGTGTGTATTCAACTCACAGAGTTGAACCTTCCTTTAGACAGAGCAGATTTGAAACTCTCTTTTTGTGGAATTTGCAAGTGGAGATTTCAAGCGCTTTGAGGCCAACGGCAGAAAAGGAAATATCTTCGTAGAAAAAATAGACGGATCATTCTCAGAAACTGCTTTGGGATGTGTGCATTGAACTCACAGTGTTTAACACTTCTTTTCATAGAGCACTTCGGAAACACTCAGTTTGTAATGTCTGCAGCTGGATATTTGGACCTCTTTGAGGCCTTCGTAGTAAACGGGATTTCTTCGTGTAATGATAGACAATAGAATTCTCAGTGAATTTGTTTCTGTGTGTGTGTATTCAACTCACAGGGTTGAACCTTCCTTTAGACAGTGCAGATTTGAAACACTTGTCTGTGGAATTTGCAAGGGGAGATTTCAAGCACTTTGAGGCCATTGGTGGAAAAGGAAATATCTTCGTATGAAAACTAGACAGAATCATTCTCAGGAACTACTTTGTGATATGTGCATTCAACTCCCAGAGTTTAACCTTTCTTTTCATAGATGAGTTTGGAAACAGTCAGTTTGTAAATTCTGCAACTGGATATTTGGACCTCTTTGAGGCTTTCGTTGGAAACGGGATTTCTTCACATAATGCTAGACAGAAGAATTCTCAGTAACTTCTTTTGGGATGTATGTATTCAAATCAGAGAGTTGAACCTTCCTTTAGACAGAGCGGATTGGAAACACTCTTTTTGTGGAATTTGCAAGTGGAAAATTCTAGCAGTATGAGGCCAATGGTACAAAAGGAAATATCTTCGTATAAAAACTAGACAGTATCATTCTCAGAAACTGCTTTGTGATGTGTGTATTAAACTCACAGAGTTGAACATTTCTTTGCATAGAGCAGTTTGGAAAGACTTAGTTTGTGCAGTGTGCAAGTGGATATTTGGAACTCTTTGAGGCCTTCGTTGGAAACGGGATTTCTTCTTATAATTTCTTGACAAAAGAATTCTCAGTAGCTTCTTTGTGTGTGTGTATTCAACTCACAGAGTTGAACCTTCCTTTAGACAGAGCAGATTGGAAACACTCTTTTTGTGGAATTTGCAAGTGGAGAATTCTAGCGCTTTGACGCCAATGGTAGAAAGGAAATATCTTCGTATAAAAACTAGACAGTATCATTCTCAGAAACTGCTTTGTGATGTGTGTATTAAACTCACAGAGTTGAACATTTCTTTGCATAGAGCAGTTTGGAAAGACTTAGTTTGTGCAGTGTGCAAGTGGATATTTGGAACTCTTTGAGGCCTTCGTTGGAAACGGGATTTCTTCTTATAATTTCTTGAAAAAAGAATTCTCAGTAGCTTCTTTGTGTGTGTGTATTCAACTCACAGAGTTGAACCTTCCTTTAGACAGAGCAGATTGGAAACACTCTTTTTGTGGAATTTGCAAGTGGAGAATTCTAGCGCTTTGACGCCAATGGTAGAAAGGAAATATCTTCGTATAAAAACTAGACAGTATCAGTCTCAGAAACTACTTTGTGATGTGTGCGTTCAACTCACAGAGTTTAACCTTTCTTTTCATAGAGCAGTTTGGAAACACTCTGTTTGTGAAGTCTGCAAGTGGATATTTAAACGTCTTTGAGGCCTTCGTTGGAAACGGGATTTTTTCCTATAAACCAGGACAGAAGAATTCTCAGAAACTTCTTGTTTGTTATGTGTGCATTCAACTCACAGAGTTGAACCTTACTTTGGAAAGAGCAGTTTTCTAACACTCTTTTTGTAAAAGTTCCAAGTGAATACTTTGAGTGCTTTGAAGCCTACGGTAGACAGCGAAATATCTTCATGTAAAAACTACAAAGAATCATTCGCAGAAACCACGTTGTGATCTCTGCATTCAACTCACAGAGTTCAACCTTTCTTCCTATAGAGCAGTTATGAAACAGTCTCTTTGTAGAATTTGCAAGGGTGTATTTAGAGGGCATTGAAGCCTACGGTAGAAAAGGAAATATCTTACCATAAAATCTAGTCAGAAGCATTCTCAGAAACTGAGTTGTGATGTTTGCATTCAACTCACAGAGTTCAACATTCCTTTTAATGGAGCGGTTTTGAAACACTCTTTTTGCAGAATCTGCAAGTGGATATTTGGACCTCTTTGAGGCCTTCGTTGGAAACGGGATTTCTTCATGTAATGCCAGACAGAAGAATTCTCAGTGAATTCTTTCTGTGTGTGTGTATTCAACTCACAGAGTTGAACGTTCCTTTAGACAGAGTAGATTGGAAACACTCTTTTTGTGGAATTTTCAGGTGGAGGTATCAAGCGCTTTGAGGCCAATGATAGAAAAGGAAATACCTTCGTATAATAATTAGACGGAATCATTCTCAGAAACCGCTTTGCAATGTGTGCGTTCAACTCACAGTGTTTAACCTTTCTTTTCATACAGTTGTTTCGAAACACTCTTTTTGCAGAATCTGCAAGTGGATATTTGGACCTCTTTGAAGTCTTCGTTGGAAATGGGATTTCTTCATATAATGCTAGACAGAAGACTTCTCAGTAACTGCTTTTTCTGGTGTGTATTCAACTCTCAGAGTTGAACTTTCCTTTAGAAACAGCAGATTTGAAACTCTCTTTTTGTGGAATTTGCAAGTGGAGATTTCAGAGCTTTGAGGCCAATGGTAGAAAAGGAAATATCTTCGTATGCAAACTAGACAGAATCATTCTCAGAAACTACTTTGGTACGTGTGTGTTCAACTCACAGTGTTTAACCTTTCTTTTCATAGAGCAGTTTGGAAACACTCAGTTTGTAAAGTCAGCAACTGGATATTTGGATGTATTTGAGGCCTTCGTTGGAAACGGGATTTCTTCATATAATGCTAGACAGAAGAATTCTCAGTAACTTCTTTGGGTTGTGGGTATTCAAGTCACAGAGTTGAAGCTTCCTTTAGGCGGAGCAGATTGGAAACACTTTTTGTGGAATTTTCAGGGGGAGACTTCAAGCGCTTTGAAGTGAATGGTAGGAAAGGAAATATCTTCGTATAAAAACTAGACGGAGTCATTCTCAGAAACTACTTTGTGATGTTTGCGTTCAACTCACAGAGTTTAACGTTTCTTTTCATAGAGCAGTTTGGAAACACTCTTTTTGCAGAATCTGCAAGTGGATATTTGGACCTCTTTGTGGCCTTCGTTGGAAACGGGATTTTTCATATAATGCTAGACAGAAGAATTCTCAGTAACTTCTTTTTGTGGTGTGTATTCAACTCACAGAGTTGAACCTTCCTTTAGACAGAGCAGATTTGAAACTCTCTTTTTGTGGAATTTGCAAGTGGAGATTTCAAGCGCTTTGAGGCCAACGGCAGAAAAGGAAATATCTTCGTAGAAAAAATAGACGGAATCATTCTCAGAAACTGCTTTGGGATGTGTGCATTGAACTCACAGTGTTTAACACTTCTTTTCATAGAGCACTTTGGAAACACTCAGTTTGTAATGTCTGCAGCTGGATATTTGGACCTCTTTGAGGCCTTCGTGGTAAACGGGATTTCTTCGTGTAATGATAGACAATAGAATTCTCAGTGAATTTTTTTCTGTGTGTGTGTATTCAACTCACAGGGTTGAACCTTCCTTTAGACAGTGCAGATTTGAGACACTTGTCTGTGGAATTTGCAAGGGGAGATTTCAAGCACTTTGAGGCCATTGGTGGAAAAGGAAATATCTTCGTATGAAAACTAGACAGAATCATTCTCAGGAACTACTTTGTGATATGTGCATTCAACTCCCAGAGTTTAACCTTTCTTTTCATAGATGAGTTTGGAAACAGTCAGTTTGTAAATTCTGCAACTGGATATTTGGACCTCTTTGAGGCTTTCGTTGGAAACGGGATTTCTTCACATAATGCTAGACAGAAGAATTCTCAGGAACTTCTTTTGGGATGTATGTATTCAAATCAGAGAGTTGAACCTTCCTTTAGACAGAGCGGATTGGAAACACTCTTTTTGTGGAATTTGCAAGTGGAAAATTCTAGCAGTATGAGGCCAATGGTACAAAAGGAAATATCTTCGTATAAAAACTAGACAGTATCATTCTCAGAAACTGCTTTGTGATGTGTGTATTAAACTCACAGAGTTGAACATTTCTTTGCATAGAGCAGTTTGGAAAGACTTAGTTTGTGCAGTGTGCAAGTGGATATTTGGAACTCTTTGAGGCCTTCGTTGGAAACGGGATTTCTTCTTATAATTCTTGACAAAAGAATTCTCAGTAGCTTCTTTGTGTGTGTGTATTCAACTCACAGAGTTGAACCTTCCTTTAGACAGAGCAGATTGGAAACACTCTTTTTGTGGAATTTGCAAGTGGAGAATTCTAGCGCTTTGACGCCAATGGTAGAAAGGAAATATCTTCGTATAAAAACTAGACAGTATCATTCTCAGAAGCTACTTTGTGATGTGTGCGTTAAACTCACAGAGTTTAAACTTTCTTTTCATAGAGCAGTTTGGAAACACTCTGTTTGTGAAGTCTGCAAGTGGATATTTAAACGTCTTTGAGGCCTTCGTTGGAAACGGGATTTTTTCATATAAACCAGGACAGAAGAATTCTCAGAAACTTCTTGATTGTTATGTGTGCATTCAACTCACAGAGTTGAACCTTACTTTGGAAAGAGCAGTTTTCTAACACTCTTTTTGTAAAAGTTCCAAGTGAATACTTTGAGTGCTTTGAAGCCTACGGTTGACAACGAAATATCTTCATGTAAAAACTACAAAGAATCATTTGCAGAAACCACGTTGTGATCTCTGCATTCAACTCACAGAGTTGAACCTTTCTTCCTATAGAGCAGTTATGAAACAGTCTCTTTGTAGAATTTGCAAGGGTGTATTTAGAGGGCATTGAAGCCTACGGTAGAAAAGGAAATATCTTACCATAAAATCTAGTCAGAAGCATTCTCAGAAACTGAGTTGTGATGTTTGCATTCAACTCACAGAGTTCAACATTCCTTTTAATGGAGCGGTTTTGAAACACTCTTTTTGCAGAATCTGCAAGTGGATATTTGGACCTCTTTGAGGCCTTCGTTGGAAACGGGATTTCTTCATGTAATGCCAGACAGAAGAATTCTCAGTGAATTCTTTCTGTGTGTGTGTATTCAACTCACAGAGTTGAACGTTCCTTTAGACAGAGTAGATTGGAAACACTCTTTTTGTGGAATTTTCAGGTGGAGGTATCAAGCGCTTTGAGGCCAATGATAGAAAAGGAAATACCTTCGTATAATAATTAGACGGAATCATTCTCAGAAACTGCTTTGCAATGTGTGCGTTCAACTCACAGTGTTTAACCTTTCTTTTCATACAGTTGTTTCGAAACACTCTTTTTGCAGAATCTGCAAGTGGATATTTGGACCTCTTTGAAGTCTTCGTTGGAAATGGGATTTCTTCATATAATGCTAGACAGAAGACTTCTCAGTAACTGCTTTTTCTGGTGTGTATTCAACTCTCAGAGTTGAACTTTCCTTTAGAAACAGCAGATTTGAAACTCTCTTTTTGTGGAATTTGCAAGTGGAGATTTCAGAGCTTTGAGGCCAATGGTAGAAAAGGAAATATCTTCGTATGCAAACTAGACAGAATCATTCTCAGAAACTACTTTGGTACGTGTGTGTTCAACTCACAGTGTTTAACCTTTCTTTTCATAGAGCAGTTTGGAAACACTCAGTTTGTAAAGTCAGCAACTGGATATTTGGATGTATTTGAGGCCTTCGTTGGAAACGGGATTTCTTCATATAATGCTAGACAGAAGAATTC
The DNA here is from genome assembly GCF_000001405.40 of Homo sapiens. Classification (NCBI taxonomy): domain Eukaryota; kingdom Metazoa; phylum Chordata; class Mammalia; order Primates; family Hominidae; genus Homo; species Homo sapiens. Next base: position 91,600,037 of record NC_000003.12, read on the forward strand.
TCAGTAACTTCTTTGGGTTGTGGGTATTCAAGTCACAGAGTTGAAGCTTCCTTTAGGCGGAGCAGATTGGAAACACTTTTTGTGGAATTTTCAGGGGGAGACTTCAAGCGCTTTGAAGTGAATGGTAGGAAAGGAAATATCTTCGTATAAAAACTAGACGGAGTCATTCTCAGAAACTACTTTGTGATGTTTGCGTTCAACTCACAGAGTTTAACGTTTCTTTTCATAGAGCAGTTTGGAAACACTCTTTTTGCAGAATCTGCAAGTGGATATTTGGACCTCTTTGTGGCCTTCGTTGGAAACGGGATTTTTCATATAATGCTAGACAGAAGAATTCTCAGTAACTTCTTTTTGTGGTGTGTATTCAACTCACAGAGTTGAACCTTCCTTTAGACAGAGCAGATTTGAAACTCTCTCTTTGTGGAATTTGCAAGTGGAGATTTCAAGCGCTTTGAGGCCAACGGCAGAAAAGGAAATATCTTCGTAGAAAAAATAGACGGAATCATTCTCAGAAACTGCTTTGGGATGTGTGCATTGAACTCACAGTGTTTAACACTTCTTTTCATAGAGCACTTTGGAAACACTCAGGTTGTAATGTCTGCAGCTGGATATTTGGACCTCTTTGAGGCCTTCGTGGTAAACGGGATTTCTTCGTGTAATGATAGACAATAGAAATGTCAGTGAATTTTTTTCTGTGTGTGTGTATTCAACTCACAGGGTTGAACCTTCCTTCAGACAGTGCAGATTTGAAACACTTTTCTGTGGAATTTGCAATGGGAGATTTCAAGGACTTTGAGGCCATTGGTGGATAAGGAAACATCTTCGTATAAAAACCAGACAGAATCATTCTCAGGAACTACTTTGTGATATGTGCATTCAACTCCCAGAGTTTAACCTTTCTTTTCATAGATGAGTTTGGAAACAGTCAGTTTGTAAATTCTGCAACTGGATATTTGGACCTCTTTGAGGCTTTCGTTGGAAACGGGATTTCTTCACATAATGCTAGACAGAAGAATTCTCAGTAACTTCTTTTGGGATGTATGTATTCAAATCAGAGAGTTGAACCTTCCTTTAGACAGAGCGGATTGGAAACACTCTTTTTGTGGAATTTGCAAGTGGAAAATTCTAGCAGTATGAGGCCAATGGTACAAAAGGAAATATCTTCGTATAAAAACTAGACAGTATCATTCTCAGAAACTGCTTTGTGATGTGTGTATTAAACTCACAGAGTTGAACATTTCTTTGCATAGAGCAGTTTGGAAAGACTTAGTTTGTGCAGTGTGCAAGTGGATATTTGGAACTCTTTGAGGCCTTCGTTGGAAACGGGATTTCTTCTTATAATTCTTGACAAAAGAATTCTCAGTAGCTTCTTTGTGTGTGTGTATTCAACTCACAGAGTTGAACCTTCCTTTAGACAGAGCAGATTGGAAACACTCTTTTTGTGGAATTTGCAAGTGGAGAATTCTAGCGCTTTGACGCCAATGGTAGAAAGGAAATATCTTCGTATAAAAACTAGACAGTATCATTCTCAGAAGCTACTTTGTGATGTGTGCGTTCAACTCACAGAGTTTAACCTTTCTTTTCATAGAGCAGTTTGGAAACACTCTGTTTGTGAAGTCTGCAAGTGGATATTTAAACGTCTTTGAGGCCTTCGTTGGAAACGGGATTTTTTCATATAAACCAGGACAGAAGAATTCTCAGAAACGTCTTGATTGTTATGTGTGCATTCAACTCACAGAGTTGAACCTTACTTTGGAAAGAGCAGTTTTCTAACACTCTTTTTGTAAAAGTTCCAAGTGAATACTTTGAGTGCTTTGAACCCTACGGTTGACAACGAAATATCTTCATGTAAAAACTACAAAGAATCATTCGCAGAAACCACGTTGTGATCTCTGCATTCAACTCACAGAGTTGAACCTTTCGTCCTATAGAGCAGTTATGAAACAGTCTCTTTGTTGAATTTGCAAGGGTGTATTTACAGGGCATTGAAGCCTACGGTGGAAAAGGAAATATCTTACCATAAAATCTAGTCAGAAGCATTCTCAGCAACTGAGTTGTGATGTTTGCATTCAACTCACAGAGTTCAACATTCCTTTTAATGGAGCGGTTTTGAAACACTCTTTTTGCAGAATCTGCAAGTGGATATTTGGACCTCTTTGAGGCCTTCGTTGGAAACGGGATTTCTTCATGTAATGCCAGACAGAAGAATTCTCAGTGAATTCTTTCTGTGTGCGTGTATTCAACTCACAGAGTTGAACGTTCCTTTAGACAGAGTAGATTGGAAACACTCTTTTTGTGGAATTTTCAGGTGGAGGTATCAAGCGCTTTGAAGCCAATGATAGAAAAGGAAATACCTTCGTATAATAATTAGACGGACAATCATTGTCAGAAAATGCTTTGCAATGGGTGCGTTCAACTCACAGTGTTTAACCTTTCTTTTCATACAGTTGTTTCGAAACACTCTTTTTGCAGAATCTGCAAGTGGATATTTGGACCTGTTTGAAGTCTTCTTTGGAAATGGGATTTCTTCATATAATGCTAGACAGAAGACTTCTCAGTAACTGCTTTTTCTGGTGTGTATTCAACTCTCAGAGTTGAACTTTCCTTTAGAAACAGCAGAGTTGAAACTCTCTTTTTGTGGAATTTGCAAGTGGAGATTTCAAAGCTTTGAGGCCAATGGTAGAAAAGGAAATATCTTCGTATGCAAACTAGACAGAATCATTCTCAGAAACTACTTTGGTACGTGTGTGTTCAACTCACAGTGTTTAACCTTTCTTTTCATAGAGCAGTTTGGAAACACCCAGTTTGTAAAGTCAGCAACTGGATATTTGGATGTATTTGAGGCCTTCGTTGGAAACGGGATTTCTTCATATAGTGCTAGACAGAAGAATTCTCAGTAACTTCTTTGGGTTGTGGGTATTCAACTCACAGAGTTGAAGCTTCCTTTAGGCGGAGCAGATTGGAAACACTTTTTGTGGAATTTTCAGGGGGAGACTTCAAGCGCTTTGAAGTGAATGGTAGAAAAGGAAATATCTTCGTATAAAAACTAGACGGAGTCATTCTCAGAAACTACTTTGTGATGTTTGCGTTCAACTCACAGAGTTTAACGTTTCTTTTCATAGAGCAGTTTGGAAACACTCTTTTTGCAGAATCTGCAAGTGGATATTTGGACCTCTTTGTGGCCTTCGTTGGAAACGGGATTTTTCATATAATGCTAGACAGAAGAATTCTCAGTAACTTCTTTTTGTGGTGTGTATTCAACTCACAGAGTTGAACATTCCTTTAGACAGAGCAGATTTGAAACTCTCTTTTTGTGGAATTTGCAAGTGGAGATTTCAAGCGCTTTGAGGCCAACGGTAGAAAAGGAAATATCTTCGTAGAAAAAATAGACGGAATCATTCTCAGAAACTGCTTTGGGATGTGTGCATTGAACTCACAGTGTTTAACACTTCTTTTCATAGAGCACTTTGGAAACACTCAGTTTGTAATGTCTGCAGCTGGATATTTGGACCTCTTTGAGGCCTTCGTAGTAAACGGGATTTCTTCGTGTAATGATAGACAATAGAATTCTCAGTGAATTTTTTTCTGTGTGTGTGTATTCAACTCACAGGGTTGAACCTTCCTTTAGACAGTGCAGATTTGAGACACTTGTCTGTGGAATTTGCAAGGGGAGATTTCAAGCACTTTGAGGCCATTGGTGGAAAAGGAAATATCTTCGTATAAAAACTAGACAGAATCATTCTCAGGAACTACTTTGTGATATGTGCATTCAACTCACAGAGTTTAACCTTTCTTTTCATAGATGAGTTTGGAAACAGTCAGTTTGTAAATGCTGCAACTGGATATTTGGGCCTCTTTGAGGCTTTCGTTGGAAACGGGATTTCTTCACATAATGCTAGACAGAAGAATTCTCAGTAACTTCTTTTGGGATGTATGTATTCAAATCAGAGAGTTGAACCTTCCTTTAGACAGAGCGGATTGGAAACACTCTTTTTGTGGAATTTGCAAGTGGAAAATTCTAGCAGTATGAGGCCAATGGTACAAAAGGAAATATCTTCGTATAAAAACTAGACAGTATCATTCTCAGAAACTGCTTTGTGATGTGTGTATTAAACTCACAGATTTGAACATTTCTTTGCATAGAGCAGTATGGAAAGACTTAGTTTGTGCAGTGTGCAAGTGGATATTTGGAACTCTTTGAGGCCTTGGTTGGAAACGGGATTTCTTCTTATAATTCTTGACAAAAGAATTCTCAGTAGCTTCTTTGTGTGTGTGTACTCAACTCACAGAGTTGAACCTTCCTTTAGACAGAGCAGATTGGAAACACTCTTTTTGTGGAATTTGCAAGTGGAAAATTCTAGCAGTATGAGGCCAATGGTACAAAAGGAAATATCTTCGTATAAAAACTAGACAGTATCATTCTCAGAAACTACTTTGTGATGTGTGCGTTCAACTCACAGTGTTTACCCTTTCTTTTCATAGAGCAGTTTGGAAACACTCTGTTTGTGAAGTCTGCAAGTGGATATTTAAACGTCTTTGAGGCCTTCGTTGGAAACGGGATTTCTTCATATAAACCAGGACAGAAGAATTCTCAGAAACTTCTTGTTTGTTATGTGTGCATTCAACTCACAGAGTTGAACCTTACTTTGGAAAGAGCAGTTTTCTAACACTCTTTTTGTGAAAGTTCCAAGTGAATACTTTGAGTGCTTTGAAGCCTACGGTAGACAACGAAATATCTTCATGTAAAAACTACAAAGAATCATTCGCAGAAACCACGTTGTGATCTCTGCATTCAACTCACAGAGTTGAACCTTTCCTCCTATAGAGCAGTTATGAAGCAGTCTCTTTGTAGAATTTGCAAGGGTGTATTTACAGGGCATTGAAGCCTACGGTAGAAAAGGAAATATCTTACCATAAAATCTAGTCAGAAGCATTCTCAGAAACTGAGTTGTGATGTTTGCATTCAACTCACAGAGTTCAACATTCCTTTTAATGGAGCGGTTTTGAAACACTCTTTTTGCAGAATCTGCAAGTGGATATTTGGACCTCTTTGAGGCCTTCGTTGGAAACGGGATTTCTTCATGTAATGCCAGACAGAAGAATTCTCAGTGAATTCTTTCTGTGTGTGTGTATTCAACTCACAGAGTTGAACGTTCCTTTAGACAGAGTAGATTGGAAACACTCTTTTTGTGGAATTTTCAGGTGGAGGTATCAAGCGCTTTGAGGCCAATGATAGAAAAGGAAATACCTTCGTATAATAATTAGACGGAATCATTCTCAGAAACCGCTTTGCAATGTGTGCGTTCAACTCACAGTGTTTAACCTTTCTTTTCATACAGTTGTTTCGAAACACTCTTTTTGCAGAATCTGCAAGTGGATATTTGGACCTCTTTGAAGTCTTCGTTGGAAATGGGATTTCTTCATATAATGCTAGACAGAAGACTTCTCAGTAACTGCTTTTTCTGGTGTGTATTCAACTCTCAGAGTTGAACTTTCCTTTAGAAACAGCAGATTTGAAACTCTCTTTTTGTGGAATTTGCAAGTGGAGATTTCAGAGCTTTGAGGCCAATGGTAGAAAAGGAAATATCTTCGTATGCAAACTAGACAGAATCATTCTCAGAAACTACTTTGGTACGTGTGTGTTCAACTCACAGTGTTTAACCTTTCTTTTCATAGAGCAGTTTGGAAACACTCAGTTTGTAAAGTCAGCAACTGGATATTTGGATGTATTTGAGGCCTTCGTTGGAAACGGGATTTCTTCATATAGTGCTAGACAGAAGAATTCTCAGTAACTTCTTTGGGTTGTGGGTATTCAAGTCACAGAGTTGAAGCTTCCTTTAGGCGGAGCAGATTGGAAACACTTTTTGTGGAATTTTCAGGGGGAGACTTCAAGCGCTTTGAAGTGAATGGTAGGAAAGGAAATATCTTCGTATAAAAACTAGACGGAGTCATTCTCAGAAACTACTTTGTGATGTTTGCGTTCAACTCACAGAGTTTAACGTTTCTTTTCATAGAGCAGTTTGGAAACACTCTTTTTGCAGAATCTGCAAGTGGATATTTGGACCTCTTTGTGGCCTTCGTTGGAAACGGGATTTTTCATATAATGCTAGACAGAAGAATTCTCAGTAACTTCTTTTTGTGGTGTGTATTCAACTCACAAAGTTGAACCTTCCTTTAGACAGAGCAGATTTGAAACTCTCTTTTTGTGGAATTTGCAAGTGGAGATTTCAAGCGCTTTGAGGCCAACGGCAGAAAAGGAAATATCTTCGTAGAAAAAATAGACGGAATCATTCTCAGAAACTGCTTTGGGATGTGTGCATTGAACTCACAGTGTTTAACACTTCTTTTCATAGAGCACTTTGGAAACACTCAGTTTATAATGTCTGCAGCTGGATATTTGGACCTCTTTGAGGCCTTCGTAGTAAACGGGATTTCTTCGTGTAATGATAGACAATAGAATTCTCAGTGAATTTTTTTCTGTGTGTGTGTATTCAACTCACAGGGTTGAACCATCCTTTAGACAGTGCAGATTTGAAACACTTGTCTGTGGAATTTGCAAGGGGAGATTTCAAGCACTTTGAGGCCATTGGTGGAAAAGGAAATATCTTCGTATGAAAACTAGACAGAATCATTCTCAGGAACTACTTTGTGATATGGGCATTCAACTCCCAGAGTTTAACCTTTCTTTTCATAGATGAGTTTGGAAACAGTCAGTTTGTAAATTCTGCAACTGGATATTTGGACCTCTTTGAGGCTTTCGTTGGAAACGGGATTTCTTCACATAATGCTAGACAGAAGAATTCTCAGTAACTTCTTTTGGGATGTATGTATTCAAAGCAGAGAGTTGAACCTTCCTTTAGACAGAGCGGATTGGAAACACTCTTTTTGTGGAATTTGCAAGTGGAAAATTCTAGCAGTATGAGGCCAATGGTACAAAAGGAAATATCTTCGTATAAAAACTAGACAGTATCATTCTCAGAAACTGCTTTGTGATGTGTGAATTAAACTCACAGAGTTGAACATTTCTTTGCATAGAGCAGTTTGGAAAGACTTAGTTTTTGCAGTGTGCAAGTGGATATTTGGAACTCTTTGAGGCCTTCGTTGGAAACGGGATTTCTTCTTATAATTCTTGACAAAAGAATTCTCAGTAGCTTCTTTGTGTGTGTGTATTCAACTCACAGAGTTGAACCTTCCTTTAGACAGAGCAGATTGGAAACACTCTTTTTGTGGAATTTGCAAGTGGAGAATTCTAGCGCTTTGACGCCAATGGTAGAAAGGAAATATCTTCGTATAAAAACTAGACAGTATCATTCTCAGAAACAACTTTGTGATGTGTGCGTTCAACTCACAGAGTTTAACCTTTCTTTTCATAGAGCAGTTTGGAAACACTCTGTTTGTGAAGTCTGCAAGTGGATATTTAAACGTCTCTGAGGCCTTCGTTGGAAACGGGATTTTTTCATATAAACCAGGACAGAAGAATTCTCAGAAACTTCTTCATTCTTATGTGTGCATTCAACTCACAGAGTTGAACCTTACTTTGGAAAGAGCAGTTTTCTAACACTCTTTTTGTAAAAGTTCCAAGTGAATACTTTGAGTGCTTTGAAGCCTACGTTTGACAATGAAATATCTTCCTGTAAAAACTAAAAAGAATCATTCGCAGAAACCACGTTGTGATCTGTGCATTCAACTCACAGTGTCAACCTTTATTTCTATAGAGCAGTTATGAAACACTCTCTTTGTAGAATTTGCAAGGGTGTATTTAGAGGGCGTTGAAGCCTACGGTAGAAAAAGAAATATCTTACCATAAAAACTAGACAGAAGCATTCTCAGAAACTGAGTTGTGATGTTTGCATTCAACTCACAGAGTTCAACATTCCTTTTAATGGAGCGGTTTTGAAACACTCTTTTTGCAGAATCTGCAAGTGGATATTTGGACCTCTTTGAGGCCTTCGTTGGAAACGGGATTTCTTCATGTAATGCCAGACAGAAGAATTCTCAGTGAATTCTTTCTGTGTGTGTGTATTCAACTCACAGAGTTGAACGTTCCTTTAGACAGAGTAGATTGGAAACACTCTTTTTGTGGAATTTTCAGGTGGAGGTATCAAGCGCTTTGAGACCAATGATAGAAAAGGAAATACCTTCGTATAATAATTAGACGGAATCATTCTCAGAAACTGCTTTGCAATGTGTGCGTTCAACTCACAGTGTTTAACCTTTCTTTTCATACAGTTGTTTCGAAACACTCTTTTTGCAGAATCTGCAAGTGGATATTTGGACCTCTTTGAAGTCTTCGTTGGAAATGGGATTTCTTCATATAATGCTAGACAGAAGACTTCTCAGTAACTGCTTTTTCTGGTGTGTATTCAACTCTCAGAGTTGAACTTTCCTTTAGAAACAGCAGATTTGAAACTCTCTTTTTGTGGAATTTGCAAGTGGAGATTTCAGAGCTTTGAGGCCAATGGTAGAAAAGGAAATATCTTCGTATGCAAACTAGACAGAATCATTCTCAGAAACTACTTTGGTACGTGTGTGTTCAACTCACAGTGTTTAACCTTTCTTTTCATAGAGCAGTTTGGAAACACTCAGTTTGTAAAGTCAGCAACTGGATATTTGGATGTATTTGAGGCCGTCGTTGGAAACGGGATTTCTTCATATAATGCTAGACAGAAGAATTCTCAGTAACTTCTTTGGGTTGTGGGTATTCAAGTCACAGAGTTGAAGCTTCCTTTAGGCGGAGCAGATTGGAAACACTTTTTGTGGAATTTTCAGGGGGAGACTTCAAGCGCTTTGAAGTGAATGGTAGGAAAGGAAATATCTTCGTATAAAAACTAGACGGAGTCATTCTCAGAAACTACTTTGTGATGTTTGCGTTCAACTCACAGAGTTTAACGTTTCTTTTCATAGAGCAGTTTGGAAACACTCTTTTTGCAGAATCTGCAAGTGGATATTTGGACCTCTTTGTGGCCTTCGTTGGAAACGGGATTTTTCATATAATGCTAGACAGAAGAATTCTCAGTAACTTCTTTTTGTGGTGTGTATTCAACTCACAGAGTTGAACCTTCCTTTAGACAGAGCAGATTTGAAACTCTCTTTTTGTGGAATTTGCAAGTGGAGATTTCAAGCGCTTTGAGGCCAACGGCAGAAAAGGAAATATCTTCGTAGAAAAAATAGACGGAATCATTCTCAGAAACTGCTTTGGGATGTGTGCATTGAACTCACAGTGTTTAACACTTCTTTTCATAGAGCACTTTGGAAACACTCAGTTTGAAATGTCTGCAGCTGGATATTTGGACCTCTTTGAGGCCTTCGTAGTAAACGGGATTTCTTCGTGTAATGATAGACAATAGAATTCTCAGTGAATTTTTTTCTGTGTGTGTGTATTCAACTCACAGGGTTGAACCTTCCTTTAGACAGTGCAGATTTGAGACACTTGTCTGTGGAATTTGCAAGGGGAGATTTCAAGCACTTTGAGGCCATTGGTGGAAAAGGAAATATCTTCGTATAAAAACTAGACAGAATCATTCTCAGGAACTACTTTGTGATATGTGCATTCAACTCACAGAGTTTAACCTTTCTTTTCATAGATGAGTTTGGAAACAGTCAGTTTGTAAATGCTGCAACTGGATATTTGGGCCTCTTTGAGGCTTTCGTTGGAAACGGGATTTCTTCACATAATGCTAGACAGAAGAATTCTCAGTAACTTCTTTTGGGATGTATGTATTCAAATCAGAGAGTTGAACCTTCCTTTAGACAGAGCGGATTGGAAACACTCTTTTTGTGGAATTTGCAAGTGGAAAATTCTAGCAGTATGAGGCCAATGGTACAAAAGGAAATATCTTCGTATAAAAACTAGACAGTATCATTCTCAGAAACTGCTTTGTGATGTGTGTATTAAACTCACAGATTTGAACATTTCTTTGCATAGAGCAGTATGGAAAGACTTAGTTTGTGCAGTGTGCAAGTGGATATTTGGAACTCTTTGAGGCCTTGGTTGGAAACGGGATTTCTTCTTATAATTCTTGACAAAAGAATTCTCAGTAGCTTCTTTGTGTGTGTGTACTCAACTCACAGAGTTGAACCTTCCTTTAGACAGAGCAGATTGGAAACACTCTTTTTGTGGAATTTGCAAGTGGAAAATTCTAGCAGTATGAGGCCAATGGTACAAAAGGAAATATCTTCGTATAAAAACTAGACAGTATCATTCTCAGAAACTACTTTGTGATGTGTGCGTTCAACTCACAGAGTTTAACCTTTCTTTTCATAGGGCAGTTTGGAAACACTCTGTTTGTGAAGTCTGCAAGTGGATATTTAAACGTCTTTGAGGCCTTCGTTGGAAACGGGATTTTTTCATATAAACCAGGACAGAAGAATTCTCAGAAACTTCTTGTTTGTTATGTGTGCATTCAACTCACAGAGTTGAACCTTACTTTGGAAAGAGCAGTTTTCTAACACTCTTTTTGTAAAAGTTCCAAGTGAATACTTTGAGTGCTTTGAAGCCTACGGTAGACAACGAAATATCTTCATGTAAAAACTACAAAGAATCATTCGCAGAAACCACGTTGTGATCTCTGCAGTCAACTCACAGAGTTCAACCTTTCTTCCTATAGAGCAGTTATGAAACAGTCTCTTTGTAGAATTTGCAAGGGTGTATTTAGAGGGCATTGAAGCCTACGGTAGAAAAGGAAATATCTTACCATAAAATCTAGTCAGAAGCATTCTCAGCAACTGAGTTGTGATGTTTCCATTCAACTCACAGAGTTCAACATTCCTTTTAATGGAGCGGTTTTGAAACACTCTTTTTGCAGAATCTGCAAGTGGATATTTGGACCTCTTTGAGGCCTTCGTTGGAAACGGGATTTCTTCATGTAATGCCAGACAGAAGAATTCTCAGTGAATTCTTTCTGTGTGTGTGTATTCAACTCACAGAGTTGAACGTTCCTTTAGACAGAGTAGATTGGAAACACTCTTTTTGTGGAATTTTCAGGTGGAGGTATCAAGCGCTTTGAGGCCAATGATAGAAAAGGAAATACCTTCGTATAATAATTAGACGGAATCATTCTCAGAAACTGCTTTGCAATGTGTGCGTTCAACTCACAGTGTTTAACCTTTCTTTTCATACAGTTGTTTCGAAACACTCTTTTTGCAGAATCTGCAAGTGGATATTTGGACCTCTTTGAAGTCTTCGTTGGAAATGGGATTTCTTCATATAATGCTAGACAGAAGACTTCTCAGTAACTGCTTTTTCTGGTGTGTATTCAACTCTCAGAGTTGAACTTTCCTTTAGAAACAGCAGATTTGAAACTCTCTTTTTGTGGAATTTGCAAGTGGAGATTTCAGAGCTTTGAGGCCAATGGTAGAAAAGGAAATATCTTCGTATGCAAACTAGACAGAATCATTCTCAGAAACTACTTTGGTACGTGTGTGTTCAACTCACAGTGTTTAACCTTTCTTTTCATAGAGCAGTTTGGAAACACTCAGTTTGTAAAGTCAGCAACTGGATATTTGGATGTATTTGAGGCCTTCGTTGGAAACGGGATTTCTTCATATAATGCTAGACAGAAGAATTCTCAGTAACTTCTTTGGGTTGTGGGTATTCAACTCACAGAGTTGAAGCTTCCTTTAGGCGGAGCAGATTGGAAACACTTTTTGTGGAATTTTCAGGGGGAGACTTCAAGCGCTTTGAAGTGAATGGTAGGAAAGGAAATATCTTCGTATAAAAACTAGACGGAGTCATTCTCAGAAACTACTTTGTGATGTTTGCGTTCAACTCACAGAGTTTAACGTTTCTTTTCATAGAGCAGTTTGGAAACACTCTTTTTGCAGAATCTGCAAGTGGATATTTGGACCTCTTTGTGGCCTTCGTTGGAAACGGGATTTTTCATATAATGCTAGACAGAAGAATTCTCAGTAACTTCTTTTTGTGGTGTGTATTCAACTCACAGAGTTGAACCTTCCTTTAGACAGAGCAGATTTGAAACTCTCTTTTTGTGGAATTTGCAAGTGGAGATTTCAAGCGCTTTGAGGCCAACGGTAGGAAAGGAAATATCTGCGTAGAAAAAATAGACGGAATCATTCTCAGAAACTGCTTTGGGATGTGTGCATTGAACTCACAGTGTTTAACACTTCTTTTCATAGAGCACTTTGGAAACACTCAGTTTGTCATGTCTGCAGCTGGATATTTGGACCTCTTTGAGGCCTTCGTAGTAATCGGGATTTCTTCGTGTAATGATAGACAATAGAATTCTCAGTGAATTTTTTTTGTGTGTGTGTATTCAACTCACAGGTTTGAACCTTCCTTTAGACAGTGCAGATTTGAAACACTTTTGTGGAATTTGCAAGGGGAGATTTCAAGCACCTTGAGGGCAGTGGTGGAAAAGGAAATATCTTTGTATAAAAACTAGACAGAATCATTCTCAGGAACTACTTTGTGATATGTGCATTCAACTCCCAGAGTTTAACCTTTCTTTTCATAGATGAGTTTGGAAACAGTCAGTTTGTAAATTCTGCAACTGGATATTTGGACCTCTTTGAGGCTTTCGTTGGAAACGGGATTTCTTCACATAATGCTAGACAGAAGAATTCTCAGTAACTTCTTTTGGGATGTATGTATTCAAATCAGAGAGTTGAACCTTCCTTTAGACAGAGCGGATTGGAAACACTCTTTTTGTGGAATTTGCAAGTGGAAAATTCTAGCAGTATGAGGCCAATGGTACAAAAGGAAATATCTTCGTATAAAAACTAGACAGTATCATTCTCAGAAACTGCTTTGTGATGTGTGTATTAAACTCACAGAGTTGAACATTTCTTTGCATAGAGCAGTTTGGAAAGACTTAGTTTGTGCAGTGTGCAAGTGGATATTTGGAACTCTTTGAGGCCTTCGTTGGAAACGGGATTTCTTCTTATAATTCTTGACAAAAGAATTCTCAGTAGCTTCTTTGTGTGTGTGTATTCAACTCACAGAGTTGAACCTTCCTTTAGACAGAGCAGATTGGAAACACTCTTTTTGTGGAATTTGCAAGTGGAGAATTCTAGCGCTTTGACGCCAATGGTAGAAAGGAAATATCTTCGTATAAAAACTAGACAGTATCATTCTCAGAAGCTACTTTGTGATGTGTGCGTTCAACTCACAGAGTTTAACCTTTCTTTTCATAGAGCAGTTTGGAAACCCTCTGTTTGTGAAGTCTGCAAGTGGATATTTAAACGTCTTTGAGGCCTTCAGTTGGAAACGGGATTTCTTCATATAAACCAGGACAGAAGAATTCTCAGAAACTTCTTGATTGTTATGTGTGCATTCAACTCACAGAGTTGAACCTTACTTTGGAAAGAGCAGTTTTCTAACACTCTTTTTGTAAAAGTTCCAAGTGAATACTTTGAGTGCTTTGAAGCCTACGGTTGACAATGAAATATCTTCCTGTAAAAACTACAAAGAATCATTCGCAGAAACCACGTTGTGATCTGTGCATTCAACTCACAGAGTTCAACCTTTCTTTCTATAGAGCAGTTATGAAACACTCTCTTTGTAGAATTTGCAAGGGTTTATTTAGAGGGCATTGAAGCCTACGGTAGAAAAGGAAATATCTTACCATAAAAACTAGACAGAAGCATTCTCAGCAACTGAGTTGTGATGTTTGCATTCAACTCACAGAGTTCAACATTCCTTTTAATGGAGCGGTTTTGAAACACTCTTTTTGCAGAATCTGCAAGTGGATATTTGGACCTCTTTGAGGCCTTCGTTGGAAACGGGATTTCTTCATGTAATGCCAGACAGAAGAATTCTCAGTGAATTCTTTCTGTGTGTGTGTATTCAACTCACAGAGTTGAACGTTCCTTTAGACAGAGTAGATTGGAAACACTCTTTTTGTGGAATTTTCAGGTGGAGGTATCAAGCGCTTTGAGGCCAATGATAGAAAAGGAAATACCTTCGTATAATAATTAGACGGGAATCATTCTCAGAAACTGCTTTGCAATGTGTGCGTTCAACTCACAGTGTTTAACCTTTCTTTTCATACAGTTGTTTCGAAACACTCTTTTTGCAGAATCTGCAAGTGGATATTTGGACCTCTTTGAAGTCTTCGTTGGAAATGGGATTTCTTCATATAATGCTAGACAGAAGACTTCTCAGTAACTGCTTTTTCTGGTGTGTATTCAACTCTCCGAGTTGAACTTTCCTTTAGAAACAGCAGATTTGAAACTCTCTTTTTGTGGAATTTGCAAGTGGAGATTTCAGAGCTTTGAGGCCACTGGTAGAAAAGGAAATATCTTCGTATGCAAACTAGACAGAATCATTCTCAGAAACTACTTTGGTACGTGTGTGTTCAACTCACAGTGTTTAACCTTTCTTTTCATAGAGCAGTTTGGAAACACTCAGTTTGTAAAGTCAGCAACTGGATATTTGGATGTATTTGAGGCCTTCGTTGGAAACGGGATTTCTTCATATAATGCTAGACAGAAGAATTCTCAAGTAACTTCTTTGGGTTGTGGGTATTCAAGTCACAGAGTTGAAGCTTCCTTTAGGCGGAGCAGATTGGAAACACTTTTTGTGGAATTTTCAGGGGGAGACTTCAAGCGCTTTGAAGTGAATGGTAGGAAAGGAAATATCTTCGTATAAAAACTAGACGGAGTCATTCTCAGAAACTACTTTGTGATGTTTGCGTTCAACTCACAGAGTTTAACGTTTCTTTTCATAGAGCAGTTTGGAAACACTCTTTTTGCAGAATCTGCAAGTGGATATTTGGACCTCTTTGTGGCCTTCGTTGGAAACGGGATTTTTCATATAATGCTAGACAGAAGAATTCTCAGTAACTTCTTTTTGTGGTGTGTATTCAACTCACAGAGTTGAACCTTCCTTTAGACAGAGCAGATTTGAAACTCTCTTTTTGTGGAATTTGCAAGTGGAGATTTCAAGCGCTTTGAGGCCAACGGCAGAAAAGGAAATATCTTCGTAGAAAAAATAGACGGAATCATTCTCAGAAACTGCTTTGGGATGTGTACATTGAACTCACAGTGTTTAACACTTCTTTTCATAGAGCACTTTGGAAACACTCAGTTTGTAATGTCTGCAGCTGGATATTTGGACCTCTTTGAGGCCTTCGTAGTAAACGGGATTTCTTCGTGTAATGATAGACAATAGAATTCTCAGTGAATTTTTTTCTGTGTGTGTGTATTCAACTCACAGGGTTGAACCTTCCTTTAGACAGTGCAGATTTGAAACACTTGTCTGTGGAATTTGCAAGGGGAGATTTCAAGCACTTTGAGGCCATTGGTGGAAAAGGAAATATCTTCGTATAAAAACTAGACAGAATCATTCTCAGGAACTACTTTGTGATATGTGCATTCAACTCACAGAGTTTAACCTTTCTTTTCATAGATGAGTTTGGAAACAGTCAGTTTGTAAATTCTGCAACTGGATATTTGGACCTCTTTGAGGCTTTCGTTGGAAACGGGATTTCTTCACATAATGCTAGACAGAAGAATTCTCAGTAACTTCTTTTGGGATGTATGTATTCAAATCAGAGAGTTGAACCTTCCTTTAGACAGAGCGGATTGGAAACACTCTTTTTGTGGAATTTGCAAGTGGAAAATTCTAGCAGTATGAGGCCAATGGTACAAAAGGAAATATCTTCGTATAAAAACTAGACAGTATCATTCTCAGAAACTGCTTTGTGATGTGTGTATTAAACTCACAGAGTTTAACCTTTCTTTTCATAGAGCAGTTTGGAAACCCTCTGTTTGTGAAGTCTGCAAGTGGATATTTAAACGTCTTTGAGGCCTTCGTTGGAAACGGGATTTTTTCATATAAACCAGGACAGAAGAATTCTCAGAAACTTCTTGATTGTTATGTGTGCATTCAACTCACAGAGTTGAACCTTACTTTGGAAAGAGCAGTTTTCTAACACTCTTTTTGTAAAAGTTCCAAGTGAATACTTTGAGTGCTTTGAAGCCTACGGTTGACAACGAAATATCTTCATGTAAAAACTACAAAGAATCATTCGCAGAAACCACGTTGTGATCTCTGCATTCAACTCACAGTGTTGAACCTTTCTTCCTATAGAGCAGTTATGAAACAGTCTCTTTGTAGAATTTGCAAGGGTGTATTTAGAGGGCATTGAAGCCTACGGTAGAAAAGGAAATATCTTACCATAAAATCTAGTCAGAAGCATTCTCAGAAACTGAGTTGTGATGTTTGCATTCAACTCACAGAGTTCAACATTCCTTTTAATGGAGCGGTTTTGAAACACTCTTTTTGCAGAATCTGCAAGTGGATATTTGGACCTCTTTGAGGCCTTCGTTGGAAACGGGATTTCTTCATGTAATGCCAGACAGAAGAATTCTCAGTGAATTCTTTCTGTGTGTGTGTATTCAACTCACAGAGTTGAACGTTCCTTTAGACAGAGTAGATTGGAAACACTCTTTTTGTGGAATTTTCAGGTGGAGGTATCAAGCGCTTTGAGGCCAATGATAGAAAAGGAAATACCTCGTATAATAATTAGACGGAATCATTCTCAGAAACTGCTTTGCAATGTGTGCCTTCAACTCACAGCGTTTAACCTTTCTTTTCATACAGTTGTTTCGAAACACTCTTTTTGCAGAATCTGCAAGTGGATATTTGGACCTGTTTGAAGTCTTCTTTGGAAATGGGATTTCTTCATATAATGCTAGACAGAAGACTTCTCAGTAACTGCTTTTTCTGGTGTGTATTCAACTCTCAGAGTTGAACTTTCCTTTAGAAACAGCAGATTTGAAACTCTCTTTTTGTGGAATTTGCAAGTGGAGATTTCAGAGCTTTGAGGCCAATGGTAGAAAAGGAAATATCTTCGTATGCAAACTAGACAGAATCATTCTCAGAAACTACTTTGGTACGTGTGTGTTCAACTCACAAGTGTTTAACCTTTCTTTTCATAGAGCAGTTTGGAAACACTCAGTTTGTAAAGTCAGCAACTGGATATTTGGATGTATTTGAGGCCTTCGTTGGAAACGGGATTTCTTCATATAATGCTAGACAGAAGAATTCTCAGTAACTTCTTTGGGTTGTGGGTATTCAAGTCACAGAGTTGAAGCTTCCTTTAGGCGGAGCAGATTGGAAACACTTTTTGTGGAATTTTCAGGGGGAGACTTCAAGCGCTTTGAAGTGAATGGTAGGAAAGGAAATATCTTCGTATAAAAACTAGACGGAGTCATTCTCAGAAACTACTTTGTGATGTTTGCGTTCAACTCACAGAGTTTAACGTTTCTTTTCATAGAGCAGTTTGGAAACACTCTTTTTGCAGAATCTGCAAGTGGATATTTGGACCTCTTTGTGGCCTTCGTTGGAAACGGGATTTTTCATATAATGCTAGACAGAAGAATTCTCAGTAACTTCTTTTTGTGGTGTGTATTCAACTCACAGAGTTGAACCTTCCTTTAGACAGAGCAGATTTGAAACTCTCTTTTTGTGGAATTTGCAAGTGGAGATTTCAAGCGCTTTGAGGCCAACGGTAGAAAAGGAAATATCTTCGTAGAAAAAATAGACGGAATCATTCTCAGAAACTGCTTTGGGATGTGTGCATTGAACTCACAGTGTTTAACACTTCTTTTCATAGAGCACTTTGGAAACACTCAGTTTGTAATGTCTGCAGCTGGATATTTGGACCTCTTTGAGGCCTTCGTAGTAAACGGGATTTACTTCGTGTAATGATAGACAATAGAATTCTCAGTGAATTTTTTTCTGTGTGTGTGTATTCAACTCACAGGGTTGAACCTTCCTTTAGACAGTGCAGATTTGAGACACTTGTCTGTGGAATTTGCAAGGGGAGATTTCAAGCACTTTGAGGCCATTGGTGGAAAAGGAAATATCTTCGTATAAAAACTAGACAGAATCATTCTCAGGAACTACTTTGTGATATGTGCATTCAACTCACAGAGTTTAACCTTTCTTTTCATAGATGAGTTTGGAAACAGTCAGTTTGTAAATTCTGCAACTGGATATTTGGACCTCTTTGAGGCTTTCGTTGGAAACGGGATTTCTTCACATAATGCTAGACAGAAGAATTCTCAGTAACTTCTTTTGGGATGTATGTATTCAAATCAGAGAGTTGAACCTTCCTTTAGACAGAGCGGATTGGAAACTCTCTTTTTGTGGAATTTGCAAGTGGAAAATTCTAGCAGTATGAGGCCAATGGTACAAAAGGAAATATCTTCGTATAAAAACTAGACAGTATCATTCTCAGAAACTGCTTTGTGATGTGTGTATTAAACTCACAGAGTTGAACATTTCTTTGCATAGAGCAGTTTGGAAAGACTTAGTTTGTGCAGTGTGCAAGTGGATATTTGGAACTCTTTGAGGCCTTCGTTGGAAACGGGATTTCTTCTTATAATTCTTGACAAAAGAATTCTCAGTAGCTTCTTTGTGTGTGTGTATTCAACTCACAGAGTTGAACCTTCCTTTAGACAGAGCAGATTGGAAACACTCTTTTTGTGGAATTTGCAAGTGGAGAATTCTAGCGCTTTGACGCCAATGGTAGAAAGGAAATATCTTCGTATGCAAACTAGACAGTATCATTCTCAGAAGCTACTTTGTGATGTGTGCGTTCAACTCACAGAGTTTAACCTTTCTTTTCATGGAGCAGTTTGGAAACCCTCTGTTTGTGAAGTCTGCAAGTGGATATTTAAACGTCTTTGAGGCCTTCGTTGGAAACGGGATTTTTTCATATAAACCAGGACAGAAGAATTCTCAGAAACTTCTTGATTGTTATGTGTGCATTCAACTCACAGAGTTGAACCTTACTTTGGAAAGAGCAGTTTTCTAACACTCTTTTTGTAAAAGTTCCAAGTGAATACTTTGAGTGCTTTGAAGCCTACGGTTGACAACGAAATATCTTCATTTAAAAACTACAAAGAATCATTCGCAGAAACCACGTTGTGATCTCTGCATTCAACTCACAGAGTTGAACCTTTCTTCCTATAGAGCAGTTATGAAACAGTCCTTTGTAGAATTTGCAAGGGTGTATTTAGAGGGCATTGAAGCCTACGGTAGAAAAGGAAATATCTTACCATAAAATCTAGTCAGAAGCATTCTCAGCAACTGAGTTGTGATGTTTGCATTCAACTCACAGAGTTCAACATTCCTTTTAATGGAGCGGTTTTGAAACACTCTTTTTGCAGAATCTGCAAGTGGATATTTGGACCTCTTTGAGGCCTTCAGTTGGAAACGGGATTTCTTCATGTAATGCCAGACAGAAGAATTCTCAGTGAATTCTTTCTGTGTGTGTGTATTCAACTCACAGAGTTGAACGTTCCTTTAGACAGAGTAGATTGGAAACACTCTTTTTGTGGAATTTTCAGGTGGAGGTATCAAGCGCTTTGAGGCCAATGATAGAAAAGGAAATACCTTCGTATAATAATTAGACGGAATCATTCTCAGAAACTGCTTTGCAATGTGTGCGTTCAACTCACAGTGTTTAACCTTTCTTTTCATACAGTTGTTTCGAAACACTCTTTTTGCAGAATCTGCAAGTGGATATTTGGACCTCTTTGAAGTCTTCGTTGGAAATGGGATTTCTTCATATAATGCTAGACAGAAGACTTCTCAGTAACTGCTTTTTCTGGTGTGTATTCAACTCTCAGAGTTGAACTTTCCTTTAGAAACAGCAGATTTGAAACTCTCTTTTTGTGGAATTTGCAAGTGGAGATTTCAGAGCTTTGAGGCCAATGGTAGAAAAGGAAATATCTTCGTATGCAAACTAGACAGAATCATTCTCAGAAACTACTTTGGTACGTGTGTGTTCAACTCACAGTGTTTAACCTTTCTTTTCATAGAGCAGTTTGGAAACACTCAGTTTGTAAAGTCAGCAACTGGATATTTGGATGTATTTGAGGCCTTCGTTGGAAACGGGATTTCTTCATATAATGCTAGACAGAAGAATTCTCAGTAACTTCTTTGGGTTGTGGGTATTCAAGTCACAGAGTTGAAGCTTCCTTTAGGCGGAGCAGATTGGAAACACTTTTTGTGGAATTTTCAGGGGGAGACTTCAAGCGCTTTGAAGTGAATGGTAGGAAAGGAAATATCTTCGTATAAAAACTAGACGGAGTCATTCTCAGAAACTACTTTGTGATGTTTGCGTTCAACTCACAGAGTTTAACGTTTCTTTTCATAGAGCAGTTTGGAAACACTCTTTTTGCAGAATCTGCAAGTGGATATTTGGACCTCTTTGTGGCCTTCGTTGGAAACGGGATTTTTCATATAATGCTAGACAGAAGAATTCTCAGTAACTTCTTTTTGTGGTGTGTATTCAACTCACAGAGTTGAACCTTCCTTTAGACAGAGCAGATTTGAAACTCTCTTTTTGTGGAATTTGCAAGTGGAGATTTCAAGCGCTTTGAGGCCAACGGCAGAAAAGGAAATATCTTCGTAGAAAAAATAGACGGAATCATTCTCAGAAACTGCTTTGGGATGTGTGCATTGAACTCACAGTGTTTAACACTTCTTTTCATAGAGCACTTTGGAAACACTCAGTTTGTAATGTCTGCAGCTGGATATTTGGACCTCTTTGAGGCCTTCGTAGTAAACGGGATTTCTTCGTGTCATGATAGACAATAGAATTCTCAGTGAATTTTTTTCTGTGTGTGTGTATTCAACTCACAGGGTTGAACCTTCCTTTAGACAGTGCAGATTTGAAACACTTGTCTGTGGAATTTGCAAGGGGAGATTTCAAGCACTTTGAGGCCATTGGTGGAAAAGGAAATATCTTCGTATAAAAACTAGACAGAATCATTCTCAGGAACTACTTTGTGATATGTGCATTCAACTCACAGAGTTTAACCTTTCTTTTCATACATGAGTTTGGAAACAGTCAGTTTGTAAATTCTGCAACTGGATATTTGGACCTCTTTGAGGCTTTCGTTGGAAACGGGATTTCTTCACATAATGCTAGACAGAAGAATTCTCAGTAACTTCTTTTGGGATGTATGTATTCAAATCAGAGAGTTGAACCTTCCTTTAGACAGAGCGGATTGGAAACACTCGTTTTGTGGAATTTGCAAGTGGAAAATTCTAGCAGTATGAGGCCAATGGTACAAAAGGAAATATGTTCGTATAAAAACTAGACAGTATCATTCTCAGAAACTGCTTTGTGATGTGTGTATTAAACTCACAGAGTTGAACATTTCTTTGCATAGAGCAGTTTGGAAAGACTTAGTTTGTGCAGTGTGCAAGTGGATATTTGGAACTCTTTGAGGCCTTCGTTGGAAACGGGATTTCTTCTTATAATTCTTGACAAAAGAATTCTCAGTAGCTTCTTTGTGTGTGTGTATTCAACTCACAGAGTTGAACCTTCCTTTAGACAGAGCAGATTGGAAACACTCTTTTTGTGGAATTTGCAAGTGGAGAATTCTAGCGCTTTGACGCCAATGGTAGAAAGGAAATATCTTCGTATAAAAACTAGACAGTATCATTCTCAGAAACTACTTTGTGATGTGTGCGTTCAACTCACAGAGTTTAACCTTTCTTTTCATAGAGCAGTTTGGAAACACTCTGTTTGTGAAGTCTGCAAGTGGATATTTAAACGTCTTTGAGGCCTTCGTTGGAAACGGGATTTTTTCCTATAAACCAGGACAGAAGGATTCTCAGAAACTTCTTGTTTGTTATGTGTGCATTCAACTCACAGAGTTGAACCTTACTTTGGAAAGAGCAGTTTTCTAACACTCTTTTTGTAAAAGTTCCAAGTGAATACTTTGAGTGCTTTGAAGCCTACGGTAGACAACGAAATATCTTCATGTAAAAACTACAAAGAATCATTCGCAGAAACCACGTTGTGATCTCTGCATTCAACTCACAGAGTTCAACCTTTCTTCCTATAGAGCAGTTATTAAACAGTCTCTTTGTAGAATTTGCAAGGGTGTATTTAGAGGGCATTGAAGCCTACGGTAGAAAAGGAAATATCTTACCATAAAATCTAGTCAGAAGCATTCTCAGAAACTGAGTTGTGATGTTTGCATTCAACTCACAGAGTTCAACATTCCTTTTAATAGAGCGGTTTTGAAACACTCTTTTTGCAGAATCTGCAAGTGGATATTTGGACCTCTTTGAGGCCTTCGTTGGAAACGGGATTTCTTCATGTAATGCCAGACAGAAGAATTCTCAGTGAATTCTTTCTGTGTGTGTGTATTCAACTCACAGAGTTCAACGTTCCTTTAGACAGAGTAGATTGGAAACACTCTTTTGGTGGAATTTTCAGGTGGAGGTATCAAGCTCTTTGAGGCCCATGATAGAAAAGGAAATACCTTCGTATAATAATTAGACGGAATCATTCTCAGAAACTGCTTTGCAATGTGTGCGTTCAACTCACAGTGTTTAACCTTTCTTTTCATACAGTTGTTTCGAAACACTCTTTTTGCAGAATCTGCAAGTGGATATTTGGACCTCTTTGAAGTCTTCGTTGGAAATGGGATTTCTTCATATAATGCTAGACAGAAGACTTCTCAGTAACTGCTTTTTCTGGTGTGTATTCAACTCTCAGAGTTGAACTTTCCTTTAGAAACAGCAGAGTTGAAACTCTCTTTTTGTGGAATTTGCAAGTGGAGATTTTAGAGCTTTGAGGCCAATGGTAGAAAAGGAAATATCTTCGTATGCAAACTAGACAGAATCATTCTCAGAAACTACTTTGGTACGTGTGTGTTCAACTCACAGTGTTTAACCTTTCTTTTCATAGAGCAGTTTGGAAACAATCAGTTTGTAAAGTCAGCAACTGGATATTTGGATGTATTTGAGGCCTTCGTTGGAAACGGGATTTCTTCATATAATGCTAGACAGAAGAATTCTCAGTAACTTCTTTGGGTTGTGGGTATTCAACTCACAGAGTTGAAGCTTCCTTTAGGCGGAGCAGATTGGAAACACTTTTTGTGGAATTTTCAGGGGGAGACTTCAAGCGCTTTGAAGTGAATGGTAGGAAAGGAAATATCTTCGTATAAAAACTAGACGGAGTCATTCTCAGAAACTACTTTGTGATGTTTGCGTTCAACTCACAGAGTTTAACGTTTCTTTTCATAGAGCAGTTTGGAAACACTCTTTTTGCAGAATCTGCAAGTGGATATTTGGACCTCTTTGTGGCCTTCGTTGGAAACGGGATTTTTCATATAATGCTAGACAGAAGAATTCTCAGTAACTTCTTTTTGTGGTGTGTATTCAACTCACAGAGTTGAACCTTCCTTTAGACAGAGCAGATTTGAAACTCTCTTTTTGTGGAATTTGCAAGTGGAGATTTCAAGCGCTTTGAGGCCAACGGCAGAAAAGGAAATATCTTCGTAGAAAAAATAGACGGAATCATTCTCAGAAACTGCTTTGGGATGTGTGCATTGAACTCACAGTGTTTAACACTTCTTTTCATAGAGCACTTTGGAAACACTCAGTTTGTAATGTCTGCAGCTGGATATTTGGACCTCTTTGAGGCCTTCGTAGTAAACGGGATTTCTTCGTGTAATGATAGACAATAGAATTCTCAGTGAATTTTTTTCTGTGTGTGTGTGTATTCAACTCACAGGGTTGAACCTTCCTTTAGACAGTGCAGATTTGAAACACTTGTCTGTGGAATTTGCAAGGGGAGATTTCAAGCACTTTGAGGCCATTGGTGGAAAAGGAAATATCTTCGTATGAAAACTAGACAGAATCATTCTCAGGAACTACTTTGTGATATGTGCATTCAACTCACAGAGTTTAACCTTTCTTTTCATAGATGAGTTTGGAAACAGTCAGTTTGTAAATTCTGCAACTGGATATTTGGACCTCTTTGAGGCTTTCGTTGGAAACGGGATTTCTTCACATAATGCTAGACAGAAGAATTCTCAGTAACTTCTTTTGGGATGTATGTATTCAAATCAGAGAGTTGAACCTTCCTTTAGACAGAGCGGATTGGAAAAACTCTTTTTGTGGAATTTGCAAGTGGAAAATTCTAGCAGTATGAGGCCAATGGTACAAAAGGAAATATCTTCGTATAAAAACTAGACAGTATCATTCTCAGAAACTGCTTTGTGATGTGTGTATTAAACTCACAGAGTTGAACATTTCTTTGCATAGAGCAGTTTGGAAAGACTTAGTTTGTGCAGTGTGCAAGTGGATATTTGGAACTCTTTGAGGCCTTCGTTGGAAACGGGATTTCTTCTTATAATTCTTGACAAAAGAATTCTCAGTAGCTTCTTTGTGTGTGTGTATTCAACTCACAGAGTTGAACCTTCCTTTAGACAGAGCAGATTGGAAACACTCTTTTTGTGGAATTTGCAAGTGGAGAATTCTAGCGCTTTGACGCCAATGGTAGAAAGGAAATATCTTCGTATAAAAACTAGACAGTATCATTCTCAGAAACTATTTTGTGATGTGTGCGTTCAACTCACAGAGTTTAACCTTTCTTTTCATAGAGCAGTTTGGAAACACTCTGTTTGTGAAGTCTGCAAGTGGATATTTAAACGTCTTTGAGGCCTTCGTTGGAAACGGGATTTCTTCATATAAACCAGGACAGAAGAATTCTCAGAAACTTCTTGATTGTTATGTGTGCATTCAACTCACAGAGTTGAACCTTACTTTGGAAAGAGCAGTTTTCTAACACTCTTTTTGTAAAAGTTCCAAGTGAATACTTTGAGTGCTTTGAAGCCTACGGTTGACAACGAAATATCTTCATGTAAAAACTACAAAGAATCATTCGCAGAAACCACGTTGTGATCTCTGCATTCAACTCACAGAGTTCAACCTTTCTTCCTATAGAGCAGTTATGAAACAGTCTCTTTGTAGAATTTGCAAGGGTGTATTTAGAGGGCATTGAAGCCTACGGTAGAAAAGGAAATATCTTACCATAAAATCTAGTCAGAAGCATTCTCAGCAACTGAGTTGTGATGTTTGCATTCAACTCACAGAGTTCAACATTCCTTTTAATGGAGCGGTTTTGAAACACTCTTTTTGCAGAATCTGCAAGTGGATATTTGGACCTCTTTGAGGCCTTCGTTGGAAACGGGATTTCTTCATGTAATGCCAGACAGAAGAATTCTCAGTGAATTCTTTCTGTGTGTGTGTATTCAACTCACAGAGTTGAACGTTCCTTTAGACAGAGTAGATTGGAAACACTCTTTTTGTGGAATTTTCAGGTGGAGGTATCAAGCGCTTTGAGGCCAATGATAGAAAAGGAAATACCTTCGTATAATAATTAGACGGAATCATTCTCAGAAACTGCTTTGCAATGTGTGCGTTCAACTCACAGTGTTTAACCTTTCTTTTCATACAGTTGTTTCGAAACACTCTTTTTGCAGAATCTGCAAGTGGATATTTGGACCTCTTTGAAGTCTTCGTTGGAAATGGGATTTCTTCATATAATGCTAGACAGAAGACTTCTCAGTAACTGCTTTTTCTGGTGTGTATTCTACTCTCAGAGTTGAACTTTCCTTTAGAAACAGCAGATTTGAAACTCTCTTTTTGTGGAATTTGCAAGTGGAGATTTCAGAGCTTTGAGGCCAATGGTAGAAAAGGAAATATCTTCGTATGCAAACTAGACAGAATCATTCTCAGAAACTACTTTGGTACGTGTGTGTTCAACTCACAGTGTTTAACCTTTCTTTTCATAGAGCAGTTTGGAAACACTCAGTTTGTAAAGTCAGCAACTGGATATTTGGATGTATTTGAGGCCTTCGTTGGAAACGGGATTTCTTCATATAATGCTAGACAGAAGAATTCTCAGTAACTTCTTTGGGTTGTGGGTATTCAACTCACAGAGTTGAAGCTTCCTTTAGGCGGAGCAGATTGGAAACACTTTTTGTGAAATTTTCAGGGGGAGACTTCAAGCGCTTTGAAGTGAATGGTAGGAAAGGAAATATCTTCGTATAAAAACTAGACGGAGTCATTCTCAGAAACTACTTTGTGATGTTTGCGTTCAACTCACAGAGTTTAACGTTTCTTTTCATAGAGCAGTTTGGAAACACTCTTTTTGCAGAATCTGCAAGTGGATATTTGGACCTCTTTGTGGCCTTCGTTGGAAACGGGATTTTTCATATAATGCTAGACAGAAGAATTCTCAGTAACTTCTTTTTGTGGTGTGTATTCAACTCACAGAGTTGAACCTTCCTTTAGACAGAGCAGATTTGAAACTCTCTTTTTGTGGAATTTGCAAGTGGAGATTTCAAGCGCTTTGAGGCCAACGGCAGAAAAGGAAATATCTTCGTAGAAAAAATAGACGGAATCATTCTCAGAAACTGCTTTGGGATGTGTGCATTGAACTCACAGTGTTTAACACTTCTTTTCATAGAGCACTTTGGAAACACTCAGTTTGTAATGTCTGCAGCTGGATATTTGGACCTCTTTGAGGCCTTCGTAGTAAACGGGATTTCTTCGTGTAATGATAGACAATAGAATTCTCAGTGAATTTGTTTCTGTGTGTGTGTATTCAACTCACAGGGTTGAACCTTCCTTTAGACAGTGCAGATTTGAAACACTTGTCTGTGGAATTTGCAAGGGGAGATTTCAAGCACTTTGAGGCCATTGGTGGAAAAGGAAATATCTTCGTATGAAAACTAGACAGAATCATTCTCAGGAACTACTTTGTGATATGTGCATTCAACTCCCAGAGTTTAACCTTTCTTTTCATAGATGAGTTTGGAAACAGTCAGTTTGTAAATTCTGCAACTGGATATTTGGACCTCTTTGAGGCTTTCGTTGGAAACGGGATTTCTTCACATAATGCTAGACAGAAGAATTCTCAGTAACTTCTTTTGGGATGTATGTATTCAAATCAGAGAGTTGAACCTTCCTTTAGACAGAGCGGATTGGAAACACTCTTTTTGTGGAATTTGCAAGTGGAAAATTCTAGCAGTATGAGGCCAATGGTACAAAAGGAAATATCTTCGTATAAAAACTAGACAGTATCATTCTCAGAAACTGCTTTGTGATGTGTGTATTAAACTCACAGAGTTGAACATTTCTTTGCATAGAGCAGTTTGGAAAGACTTAGTTTGTGCAGTGTGCAAGTGGATATTTGGAACTCTTTGAGACCTTCGTTGGAAACGGGATTTCTTCTTATAATTTCTTGAAAAAAGAATTCTCAGTAGCTTCTTTGTGTGTGTGTATTCAACTCACAGAGTTGAACCTTCCTTTAGACAGAGCAGATTGGAAACACTCTTTTTGTGGAATTTGCAAGTGGAGAATTCTAGCGCTTTGACGCCAATGGTAGAAAGGAAATATCTTCGTATAAAAACTAGACAGTATCATTCTCAGAAGCTACTTTGTGATGTGTGCGTTCAACTCACAGAGTTTAACCTTTCTTTTCATAGAGCAGTTTGGAAACCCTCTGTTTGTGAAGTCTGCAAGTGGATATTTAAACGTCTTTGAGGCCTTCGTTGGAAACGGGATTTTTTCATATAAACCAGGACAGAAGAATTCTCAGAAACTTCTTGATTGTTATGTGTGCATTCAACTCACAGAGTTGAACCTTACTTTGGAAAGAGCAGTTTTCTAACACTCTTTTTGTAAAAGTTCCAAGTGAATACTTTGAGTGCTTTGAAGCCTACGGTTGACAACGAAATATCCTTCATGTAAAAACTACAAAGAATCATTCGCAGAACCACGTTGTGATCTCTGCATTCAACTCACAGAGTTGAACCTTTCTTCCTATAGAGCAGTTATGAAACAGTCTCTTTGTAGAATTTGCAAGGGTGTATTTAGAGGGCATTGAAGCCTACGGTAGAAAAGGAAATATCTTACCATAAAATCTAGTCAGAAGCATTCTCAGAAACTGAGTTGTGATGTTTGCATTCAACTCACAGAGTTCAACATTCCTTTTAATGGAGCGGTTTTGAAACACTCTTTTTGCAGAATCTGCAAGTGGATATTTGGACCTCTTTGAGGCCTTCGTTGGAAACGGGATTTCTTCATGTAATGCCAGACAGAAGAATTCTCAGTGAATTCTTTCTGTGTGTGTGTATTCAACTCACAGAGTTGAACGTTCCTTTAGACAGAGTAGATTGGAAACACTCTTTTTGTGGAATTTTCAGGTGGAGGTATCAAGCGCTTTGAGGCCAATGATAGAAAAGGAAATACCTTCGTATAATAATTAGACGGAATCATTCTCAGAAACCGCTTTGCAATGTGTGCGTTCAACTCACAGTGTTTAACCTTTCTTTTCATACAGTTGTTTCGAAACACTCTTTTTGCAGAATCTGCAAGTGGATATTTGGACCTCTTTGAAGTCTTCGTTGGAAATGGGATTTCTTCATATAATGCTAGACAGAAGACTTCTCAGTAACTGCTTTTTCTGGTGTGTATTCAACTCTCAGAGTTGAACTTTCCTTTAGAAACAGCAGAGTTGAAACTCTCTTTTTGTGGAATTTGCAAGTGGAGATTTCAGAGCTTTGAGGCCAATGGTAGAAAAGGAAATATCTTCGTATGCAAACTAGACAGAATCATTCTCAGAAACTACTTTGGTACGTGTGTGTTCAACTCACAGTGTTTAACCTTTCTTTTCATAGAGCAGTTTGGAAACACTCAGTTTGTAAAGTCAGCAACTGGATATTTGGATGTATTTGAGGCCTTCGTTGGAAACGGGATTTCTTCATATAATGCTAGACAGAAGAATTCTCAGTAACTTCTTTGGGTTGTGGGTATTCAAGTCACAGAGTTGAAGCTTCCTTTAGGCGGAGCAGATTGGAAACACTTTTTGTGGAATTTTCAGGGGGAGACTTCAAGCGCTTTGAAGTGAATGGTAGGAAAGGAAATATCTTCGTATAAAAACTAGACGGAGTCATTCTCAGAAACTACTTTGTGATGTTTGCGTTCAACTCACAGAGTTTAACGTTTCTTTTCATAGAGCAGTTTGGAAACACTCTTTTTGCAGAATCTGCAAGTGGATATTTGGACCTCTTTGTGGCCTTCGTTGGAAACGGGATTTTTCATATAATGCTAGACAGAAGAATTCTCAGTAACTTCTTTTTGTGGTGTGTATTCAACTCACAGAGTTGAACCTTCCTTTAGACAGAGCAGATTTGAAACTCTCTTTTTGTGGAATTTGCAAGTGGAGATTTCAAGCGCTTTGAGGCCAACGGCAGAAAAGGAAATATCTTCGTAGAAAAAATAGACGGAATCATTCTCAGAAACTGCTTTGGGATGTGTGCATTGAACTCACAGTGTTTAACACTTCTTTTCATAGAGCACTTTGGAAACACTCAGTTTGTAATGTCTGCAGCTGGATATTTGGACCTCCTTGAGGCCTTCGTAGTAAACGGGATTTCTTCGTGTAATGATAGACAATAGAATTCTCAGTGAATTTTTTTTTGTGTGTGTATTCAACTCACAGGGTTGAACTTTCCTTTAGACAGTGCAGATTTGAAACTCTTTTTGTGGAATTTGCAAGGGGAGATTTCAAGCACCTTGAGGCCAGTGGTGGAAAAGGAAATATGTTCGTATAAAAACTAGACAGAATCATTCTCAGGAACTACTTTGTGATATTGCATTCAACTCACAGAGTTTAACCTTTCTTTTCATAGATGAGTTTGGAAACAGTCAGTTTGTAAATTCTGCAACTGGATATTTGGACCTCTTTGAGGCTTTCGTTGGAAACGGGATTTCTTCACATAATGCTAGACAGAAGAATTCTCAGTAACTTCTTTTGGGATGTATGTATTCAAATCAGAGAGTTGAACTTTCCTTTAGACAGAGCGGATTGGAAACACTCTTTTTGTGGAATTTGCAAGTGGAAAATTCTAGCAGTATGAGGCCAATGGTACAAAAGGAAATATCTTCGTATAAAAACTAGACAGTATCATTCTCAGAAACTGCTTTGTGATGTGTGTATTAAACTCACAGAGTTGAACATTTCTTTGCATAGAGCAGTTTGGAAAGACTTAGTTTGTGCAGTGTGCAAGTGGATATTTGGAACTCTTTGAGGCCTTCATTGGAAACGGGATTTCTTCTTATAATTCTTGACAAAATAATTCTCAGTAGCTTCCTTGTGTGTGTGTATTCAACTCACAGAGTTGAACCTGCCTTTAGGCAGAGCAGATTGGAAACTCTCTTTCTGTGGAATTTGCAAGTGGAGAATTCTAGCGCTTTGACGCCAATGGTAGGAAAGGAAATCTCTTCGTATAAAAACTGGACAGTATCATTCTCAGAAACTACTTTGTGATGTGTGCGTTCAACTCACAGAGTTTAACCTTTCTTTTCATAGAGCAGTTTGGAAACACTCTGTTTGTGAAGTCTGCAAGTGGATATTTAAACGTCTTTGAGGCCTTCGTTGGAAACGGGATTTTTTCATATAAACCAGGACAGAGGAATTCTCAGAAACTTCTTGATTGTTATGTGTGCATTCAACTCACAGAGTTGAACCTTACTTTGGAAAGAGCAGTTTTCTAACACTCTTTTTGTAAAAGTTCCAAGTGAATACTTTGAGTGCTTTGAAGCCTACGGTTGACAACGAAATATCTTCATGTAAAAACTACAAAGAATCATTCGCCGAAACCACGTTGTGATCTCTGCATTCAACTCACAGAGTTCAACCTTTCTTCCTATAGAGCAGTTATTAAACAGTCTCTTTGTAGAATTTGCAAGGGTGTATTTAGAGGGCATTGAAGCCTACGGTAGAAAAGGAAATATCTGACCATAAAAACTAGTCAGAAGCATTCTCAGAAACTGAGTTGTGATGTTTGCATTCAACTCACAGAGTTCAACATTCCTTTTAATGGAGCGGTTTTGAAACACTCTTTTTGCAGAATCTGCAAGTGGATATTTGGACCTCTTTGAGGCCTTCGTTGGAAACGGGATTTCTTCATGTAATGCCAGACAGAAGAATTCTCAGTGAATTCTTTCTGTGTGTGTGTATTCAACTCACAGAGTTGAACGTTCCTTTAGACAGAGTAGATTGGAAACACTCTTTTTGTGGAATTTTCAGGTGGAGGTATCAAGCGCTTTGAGGCCAATGATAGAAAAGGAAATACCTTCGTATAATAATTAGACGGAATCATTCTCAGAAACTGCTTTGCAAAGTGTGCCTTCAACTCACAGCGTTTAACCTTTCTTTTCATACAGTTGTTTCGATACACTCTTTTTGCAGAACCTGCAAGTGGATATTTGGACCTCTTTGAAGTCTTCGTTGGAAATGGGATTTCTTCATATAATGCTAGACAGAAGACTTCTCAGTAACTGCTTTTTCTGGTGTGTATTCAACTCTCAGAGTTGAACTTTCCTTTAGAAACAGCAGATTTGAAACTCTCTTTTTGTGGAATTTGCAAGTGGAGATTTCAGAGCTTTGAGGCCAATGGTAGAAAAGGAAATATCTTCGTATGCAAACTAGACAGAATCATTCTCAGAAACTACTTTGGTACGTGTGTGTTCAACTCACAGTGTTTAACCTTTCTTTTCATAGAGCAGTTTGGAAACACTCAGTTTGTAAAGTCAGCAACTGGATATTTGGATGTATTTGAGGCCTTCGTTGGAAACGGGATTTCTTCATATAATGCTAGACAGAAGAATTCTCAGTAACTTCTTTGGGTTGTGGGTATTCAACTCACAGAGTTGAAGCTTCCTTTAGGCGGAGCAGATTGGAAACACTTTTTGTGGAATTTTCAGGGGGAGACTTCAAGCGCTTTGAAGTGAATGGTAGGAAAGGAAATATCTTCGTATAAAAACTAGACGGAGTCATTCTCAGAAACTACTTTGTGATGTTTGCGTTCAACTCACAGAGTTTAACGTTTCTTTTCATAGAGCAGTTTGGAAACACTCTTTTTGCAGAATCTGCAAGTGGATATTTGGACCTCTTTGTGGCCTTCGTTAGAAACGGGATTTTTCATATAATGCTAGACAGAAGAATTCTCAGTAACTTCTTTTTGTGGTGTGTATTCAACTCACAGAGTTGAACCTTCCTTTAGACAGAGCAGATTTGAAACTCTCTTTTTGTGGAATTTGCAAGTGGAGATTTCAAGCGCTTTGAGGCCAACGGTAGAAAAGGAAATATCTTCGTAGAAAAAATAGACGGAATCATTCTCAGAAACTGCTTTGGGATGTGTGCATTGAACTCACAGTGTTTAACACTTCTTTTCATAGAGCACTTTGGAAACACTCAGTTTGTAATGTCTGCAGCTGGATATTTGGACCTCTTTGAGGCCTTCGTAGTAAACGGGATTTCTTCGTGTAATGATAGACAATAGAATTCTCAGTGAATTTTTTTCTGTGTGTGTGTATTCAACTCACAGGGTTGAACCATCCTTTAGACAGTGCAGATTTGAAACACTTGTCTGTGGAATTTGCAAGGGGAGATTTCAAGCACTTTGAGGCCATTGGTGGAAAAGGAAATATCTTCGTATGAAAACTATACAGAATCATTCTCAGGAACTACTTTGTGATATGCGCATTCAACTCACAGAGTTTAACATTTCTTTTCATAGATGAGTTGGAAACAGTCAGTTTGTAAATGCTGCAACTGGATATTTGGGCCTCTTTGAGGCTTTTGTTGGAAACGGGATTTCTTCACATAATGCTAGACAGAAGAATTCTCAGTAACTTCTTTTGGGATGTATGTATTCAAATCAGAGAGTTGAACCTTCCTTTAGACAGAGCGGATTGGAAACACTCTTTTTGTGGAATTTGCAAGTGGAAAATTCTAGCAGTATGAGGCCAATGGTACAAAAGGAAATATCTTCGTATAAAAACTAGACAGTATCATTCTCAGAAACTGCTTTGTGATGTGTGTATTAAACTCACAGATTTGAACATTTCTTTGCATAGAGCAGTATGGAAAGACTTAGTTTGTGCAGTGTGCAAGTGGATATTTGGAACTCTTTGAGGCCTTGGTTGGAAACGGGATTTCTTCTTATAATTCTTGACAAAAGAATTCTCAGTAGCTTCTTTGTGTGTGTGTACTCAACTCACAGAGTTGAACCTTCCTTTAGACAGAGCAGATTGGAAACTCTCTTTTTGTGGAATTTGCAAGTGGAAAATTCTAGCAGTATGAGGCCAGTGGTACAAAAGGAAATATCTTCGTATAAAAACTAGACAGTATCATTCTCAGAAACTACTTTGTGATGTGTGCGTTCAACTCACAGTGTTTACCCTTTCTTTTCATAGAGCAGTTTGGAAACACTCTGTTTGTGAAGTGTGCAAGTGGATATTTAAACGTCTTTGAGGCCTTCGTTGGAAACGGGATTTCTTCATATAAACCAGGACAGAAGAATTCTCAGAAACTTCTTGTTTGTTATGTGTGCATTCAACTCACAGAGTTGAACCTTACTTTGGAAAGAGCAGTTTTCTAACACTCTTTTTGTAAAAGTTCCAAGTGAATACTTTGAGTGCTTTGAAGCCTACGGTAGACAACGAAATATCTTCATGTAAAAACTACAAAGAATCATTCGCAGAAACCACGTTGTGATCTCTGCATTCAACTCACAGAGTTCAACCTTTCTTCCTATAGAGCAGTTATTAAACAGTCTCTTTGTAGAATTTGCAAGGGTGTATTTAGAGGGCATTGAAGCCTACGGTAGAAAAGGAAATATCTTACCATAAAATCTAGTCAGAAGCATTCTCAGAAACTGAGTTGTGATGTTTGCATTCAACTCACAGAGTTCAACATTCCTTTTAATAGAGCGGTTTTGAAACACTCTTTTTGCAGAATCTGCAAGTGGATATTTGGACCTCTTTGAGGCCTTCGTTGGAAACGGGATTTCTTCATGTAATGCCAGACAGAAGAATTCTCAGTGAATTCTTTCTGTGTGTGTGTATTCAACTCACAGAGTTGAACGTTCCTTTAGACAGAGTAGATTGGAAACACTCTTTTTGTGGAATTTTCAGGTGGAGGTATCAAGCGCTTTGAGGCCCATGATAGAAAAGGAAATGCCTTCGTATAATAATTAGACGGAATCATTCTCAGAAACCGCTTTGCAATGTGTGCGTTCAACTCACAGTGTTTAACCTTTCTTTTCATACAGTTGTTTCGAAACACTCTTTTTGCAGAATCTGCAAGTGGATATTTGGACCTCTTTGAAGTCTTCGTTGGAAATGGGATTTCTTCATATAATGCTAGACAGAAGACTTCTCAGTAACTGCTTTTTCTGGTGTGTATTCAACTCTCAGAGTTGAACTTTCCTTTAGAAACAGCAGATTTGAAACTCTCTTTTTGTGGAATTTGCAAGTGGAGATTTCAGAGCTTTGAGGCCAATGGTAGAAAAGGAAATATCTTCGTATGCAAACTAGACAGAATCATTCTCAGAAACTACTTTGGTACGTGTGTGTTCAACTCACAGTGTTTAACCTTTCTTTTCATAGAGCAGTTTGGAAACACTCAGTTTGTAAAGTCAGCAACTGGATATTTGGATGTATTTGAGGCCTTCGTTGGAAACGGGATTTCTTCATATAATGCTAGACAGAAGAATTCTCAGTAACTTCTTTGGGTTGTGGGTATTCAACTCACAGAGTTGAAGCTTCCTTTAGGCAGAGCAGATTGGAAACACTTTTTGTGGAATTTTCAGGGGGAGACTTCAAGCGCTTTGAAGTAAATGGTAGGAAAGGAAATATCTTCGTATAAAAACTAGACGGAGTCATTCTCAGAAACTACTTTGTGATGTTTGCGTTCAACTCACAGAGTTTAACGTTTCTTTTCATAGAGCAGTTTGGAAACACTCTTTTTGCAGAATCTGCAAGTGGATATTTGGACCTCTTTGTGGCCTTCGTTGGAAACGGGATTTTTCATATAATGCTAGACAGAAGACTTCTCAGTAACTTCTTTTTGTGGTGTGTATTCAACTCACAGAGTTGAACCTTCCTTTAGACAGAGCAGATTTGAAACTCTCTTTTTGTGGAATTTGCAAGTGGAGATTTCAAGCGCTTTGAGGCCAACGGCAGAAAAGGAAATATCTTCGTAGAAAAAATAGACGGAATCATTCTCAGAAACTGCTTTGGGATGTGTGCATTGAACTCACAGTGTTTAACACTTCTTTTCATAGAGCACTTTGGAAACACTCAGTTTGTAATGTCTGCAGCTGGATATTTGGACCTCTTTGAGGCCTTCGTAGTAAACGGGATTTCTTCGTGTAATGATAGACAATAGAATTCTCAGTGAATTTTTTTCTGTGTGTGTGTATTCAACTCACAGGGTTGAACCTTCCTTTAGACAGTGCAGATTTGAAACACTTGTCTGTGGAATTTGCAAGAGGAGATTTCAAGCACTTTGAGGCCATTGGTGGAAAAGGAAATATCTTCGTATGAAAACTAGACAGAATCATTCTCAGGAACTACTTTGTGATATGTGCATTCAACTCCCAGAGTACAACCTTTCTTTTCATAGATGAGTTTGGAAACAGTCAGTTTGTAAATTCTGCAACTGGATATTTGGACCTCTTTGAGGCTTTCATTGGAAACGGGATTTCTTCACATAATGCTAGACAGAAGAATTCTCAGTAACTTCTTTTGGGATGTATGTATTCAAATCAGAGAGTTGAACCTTCCTTTAGACAGAGCGGATTGGAAACACTCTTTTTGTGGAATTTGCAAGTGGAAAATTCTAGCAGTATGAGGCCAATGGTACAAAAGGAAATATCTTCGTATAAAAACTAGACAGTATCATTCTCAGAAACTGCTTTGTGATGTGCGTATTAAACTCACAGAGTTGAACATTTCTTTGCATAGAGCAGTTTGGAAAGACTTAGTTTGTGCAGTGTGCAAGTGGATATTTGGAACTCTTTGAGGCCTTCGTTGGAAACGGGATTTCTTCTTATAATTCTTGACAAAAGAATTCTCAGTAGCTTCTTTGTGTGTGTGTATTCAACTCACAGAGTTGAACCTTCCTTTAGACAGAGCAGATTGGAAACACTCTTTTTGTGGAATTTGCAAGTGGAGAATTCTAGCGCTTTGACGCCAATGGTAGAAAGGAAATATCTTCGTATAAAAACTAGACAGTATCATTCTCAGAAGCTACTTTGTGATGTGTGCGTTCAACTCACAGAGTTTAACCTTTCTTTTCATAGAGCAGTTTGGAAACCCTCTGTTTGTGAAGTCTGCAAGTGGATATTTAAACGTCTTTGAGGCCTTCGTTGGAAACGGGATTTTTTCATATAAACCAGGACAGAAGAATTCTCAGAAACTTCTTGATTGTTATGTGTGCATTCAACTCACAGAGTTGAACCTTACTTTGGAAAGAGCAGTTTTCTAACACTCTTTTTGTAAAAGTTCCAAGTGAATACTTTGAGTGCTTTGAAGCCTACGGTTGACAACGAAATATCTTCATGTAAAAACTACAAAGAATCATTCGCAGAAACCACGTTGTGATCTCTGCATTCAACTCACAGTGTTGAACCTTTCTTCCTATAGAGCAGTTATGAAACAGTCTCTTTGTAGAATTTGCAAGGGTGTATTTAGAGGGCATTGAAGCCTACGGTAGAAAAGGAAATATCTTACCATAAAATCTAGTCAGAAGCATTCTCAGAAACTGAGTTGTGATGTTTGCATTCAACTCACAGAGTTCAACATTCCTTTTAATGGAGCGGTTTTGAAACACTCTTTTTGCAGAATCTGCAAGTGGATATTTGGACCTCTTTGAGGCCTTCGTTGGAAACGGGATTTCTTCATGTAATGCCAGACAGAAGAATTCTCAGTGAATTCTTTCTGTGTGTGTGTATTCAACTCACAGAGTTGAACGTTCCTTTAGACAGAGTAGATTGGAAACACTCTTTTTGTGGAATTTTCAGGTGGAGGTATCAAGCGCTTTGAGGCCAATGATAGAAAAGGAAATACCTTCGTATAATAATTAGACAGAATCATTCTCAGAAACTGCTTTGCAATGTGTGCGTTCAACTCACAGTGTTTAACCTTTCTTTTCATACAGTTGTTTCGAAACACTCTTTTTGCAGAATCTGCAAGTGGATATTTGGACCTCTTTGAAGTCTTCGTTGGAAATGGGATTTCTTCATATAATGCTAGACAGAAGACTTCTCAGTAACTGCTTTTTCTGGTGTGTATTCAACTCTCAGAGTTGAACTTTCCTTTAGAAACAGCAGAGTTGAAACTCTCTTTTTGTGGAATTTGCAAGTGGAGATTTCAAAGCTTTGAGGCCAATGGTAGAAAAGGAAATATCTTCGTATGCAAACTAGACAGAATCATTCTCAGAAACTACTTTGGTACGTGTGTGTTCAACTCACAGTGTTTAACCTTTCTTTTCATAGAGCAGTTTGGAAACACTCAGTTTGTAAAGTCAGCAACTGGATATTTGGATGTATTTGAGGCCTTCGTTGGAAACGGGATTTCTTCATATAGTGCTAGACAGAAGAATTCTCAGTAACTTCTTTGGGTTGTGGGTATTCAACTCACAGAGTTGAAGCTTCCTTTAGGCGGAGCAGATTGGAAACACTTTTTGTGGAATTTTCAGGGTGAGACTTCAAGCGCTTTGAAGTGAATGGTAGAAAAGGAAATATCTTCGTATAAAAACTAGACGGAGTCATTCTCAGAAACTACTTTGTGATGTTTGCGTTCAACTCACAGAGTTTAACGTTTCTTTTCATAGAGCAGTTTGGAAACACTCTTTTTGCAGAATCTGCAAGTGGATATTTGGACCTCTTTGTGGCCTTCGTTGGAAACGGGATTTTTCATATAATGCTAGACAGAAGAATTCTCAGTAACTTCTTTTTGTGGTGTGTATTCAACTCACAGAGTTGAACCTTCCTTTAGACAGAGCAGATTTGAAACTCTCTTTTTGTGGAATTTGCAAGTGGAGATTTCAAGCGCTTTGAGGCCAACGGTAGAAAAGGAAATATCTTCGTAGAAAAAATAGACGGAATCATTCTCAGAAACTGCTTTGGGATGTGTGCATTGAACTCACAGTGTTTAACACTTCTTTTCATAGAGCACTTTGGAAACACTCAGTTTGTAATGTCTGCAGCTGGATATTTAGACCTCTTTGAGGCCTTCGTAGTAAACGGGATTTCTTCGTGTAATGATAGACAATAGAATTCTCAGTGAATTTTTTTCTGTGCGTGTGTATTCAACTCACAGGGTTGAACCTTCCTTTAGACAGTGTAGATTTGAAACACTTGTCTGTGGAATTTGCAAGGGGAGATTTCAAGCACTTTGAGGCCATTGGTGGAAAAGGAAATATCTTCGTATAAAAACTAGACAGAATCATTCTCAGGAACTACTTTGTGATATGTGCATTCAACTCACAGAGTTTAACCTTTCTTTTCATAGATGAGTTTGGAAACAGTCAGTTTGTAAATTCTGCAACTGGATATTTGGACCTCTTTGAGGCTTTCGTTGGAAACGGGATTTCTTCACATAATGCTAGACAGAAGAATTCTCAGTAACTTCTTTTGGGATGTATGTATTCAAATCAGAGAGTTGAACCTTCCTTTAGACAGAGCGGATTGGAAACACTCTTTTTGTGGAATTTGCAAGTGGAAAATTCTAGCAGTATGAGGCCAATGGTACAAAAGGAAATATCTTCGTATAAAAACTAGACAGTATCATTCTCAGAAACTGCTTTGTGATGTGTGTATTAAACTCACAGAGTTGAACATTTCTTTGCATAGAGCAGTTTGGAAAGACTTAGTTTGTGCAGTGTGCAAGTGGATATTTGGAACTCTTTGAGGCCTTCGTTGGAAACGGGATTTCTTCTTATAATTCTTGACAAAAGAATTCTCAGTAGCTTCTTTGTGTGTGTGTATTCAACTCACAGAGTTGAACCTTCCTTTAGACAGAGCAGATTGGAAACACTCTTTTTGTGGAATTTGCAAGTGGAGAATTCTAGCGCTTTGAC
The DNA here is from genome assembly GCF_000001405.40 of Homo sapiens. Classification (NCBI taxonomy): domain Eukaryota; kingdom Metazoa; phylum Chordata; class Mammalia; order Primates; family Hominidae; genus Homo; species Homo sapiens. The sequence continues at coordinate 91,638,763 of NC_000003.12, forward strand.
GCCAATGGTAGAAAGGAAATATCTTCGTATGCAAACTAGACAGAATCATTCTCAGAAACTACTTTGGTACGTGTGTGTTCAACTCACAGTGTTTAACCTTTCTTTTCATAGAGCAGTTTGGAAACACTCAGTTTGTAAAGTCAGCAACTGGATATTTGGATGTATTTGAGGCCTTCGTTGGAAACGGGATTTCTTCATATAATGCTAGACAGAAGAATTCTCAGTAACTTCTTTGGGTTGTGGGTATTCAACTCACAGAGTTGAAGCTTCCTTTAGGCGGAGCAGATTGGAAACACTTTTTGTGGAATTTTCAGGGGGAGACTTCAAGCGCTTTGAAGTGAATGGTAGGAAAGGAAATATCTTCGTATAAAAACTAGACGGAGTCATTCTCAGAAACTACTTTGTGATGTTTGCGTTCAACTCACAGAGTTTAACGTTTCTTTTCATAGAGCAGTTTGGAAACACTCTTTTTGCAGAATCTGCAAGTGGATATTTGGACCTCTTTGTGGCCTTCGTTGGAAACGGGATTTTTCATATAATGCTAGACAGAAGAATTCTCAGTAACTTCTTTTTGTGGTGTGTATTCAACTCACAGAGTTGAACCTTCCTTTAGACAGAGCAGATTTGAAACTCTCTTTTTGTGGAATTTGCAAGTGGAGATTTCAAGCGCTTTGAGGCCAACGGCAGAAAAGGAAATATCTTCGTAGAAAAAATAGACGGAATCATTCTCAGAAACTGCTTTGGGATGTGTGCATTGAACTCACAGTGTTTAACACTTCTTTTCATAGAGCACTTTGGAAACACTCAGTTTGTAATGTCTGCAGCTGGATATTTGGACCTCTTTGAGGCCTTCGTAGTAAACGGGATTTCTTCGTGTAATGATAGACAATAGAATTCTCAGTGAATTTTTTTCTGTGTGTGTGTATTCAACTCACAGGGTTGAACCTTCCTTTAGACAGTGCAGATTTGAAACACTTGTCTGTGGAATTTGCAAGGGGAGATTTCAAGCACTTTGAGGCCATTGGTGGAAAAGGAAATATCTTCGTATAAAAACTAGACAGAATCATTCTCAGGAACTACTTTGTGATATGTGCATTCAACTCACAGAGTTTAACCTTTCTTTTCATAGATGAGTTTGGAAACAGTCAGTTTGTAAATTCTGCAACTGGATATTTGGACCTCTTTGAGGCTTTCGTTGGAAACGGGATTTCTTCACATAATGCTAGACAGAAGAATTCTCAGTAACTTCTTTTGGGATGTATGTATTCAAATCAGAGAGTTGAACTTTCCTTTAGACAGAGCGGATTGGAAACACTCTTTTTGTGGAATTTGCAAGTGGAGAATTCTAGCGCTTTGACGCCAATGGTAGAAAGGAAATATCTTCGTATAAAAACTAGACAGTATCATTCTTAGAAACTCCTTTGTGATGTGTGTATTAAACTCACAGAGTTTAACCTTTCTTTTCATAGAGCAGTTTGGAAACCCTCTGTTTGTGAAGTCTGCAAGTGGATATTTAAACGTCTTTGAGGCCTTCGTTGGAAACGGGATTTTTTCATATAAACCAGGACAGAAGAATTCTCAGAAACTTCTTGATTGTTATGTGTGCATTCAACTCACAGAGTTGAACCTTACTTTGGAAAGAGCAGTTTTCTAACACTCTTTTTGTAAAAGTTCCAAGTGAATACTTTGAGTGCTTTGAAGCCTACGGTTGACAACGAAATATCTTCATGTAAAAACTACAAAGAATCATTCGCAGAAACCACGTTGTGATCTCTGCAGTCAACTCACAGAGTTCAACCTTTCTTCCTATAGAGCAGTTATGAAACAGTCTCTTTGTAGAATTTGCAAGGGTGTATTTAGAGGGCATTGAAGCCTACGGTAGAAAAGGAAATATCTTACCATAAAATCTAGTCAGAAGCATTCTCAGCAACTGAGTTGTGATGTTTGCATTCAACTCACAGAGTTCAACATTCCTTTTCATGGAGCGGTTTTGAAACACTCTTTTTGCAGAATCTGCAAGTGGATATTTGGACCTCTTTGAGGCCTTCGTTGGAAACGGGATTTCTTCATGTAATGCCAGACAGAAGAATTCTCAGTGAATTCTTTCTGTGTGTGTGTATTCAACTCACAGAGTTGAACGTTCCTTTAGACAGAGTAGATTGGAAACACTCTTTTTGTGGAATTTTCAGGTGGAGGTATCAAGCGCTTTGAGGCCAATGATAGAAAAGGAAATACCTTCGTATAATAATTAGACGGAATCATTCTCAGAAACCGCTTTGCAATGTGTGCGTTCAACTCACAGTGTTTAACCTTTCTTTTCATACAGTTGTTTCGAAACACTCTTTTTGCAGAATCTGCAAGTGGATATTTGGACCTCTTTGAAGTCTTCGTTGGAAATGGGATTTCTTCATATAATGCTAGACAGAAGACTTCTCAGTAACTGCTTTTTCTGGTGTGTATTCAACTCTCAGAGTTGAACTTTCCTTTAGAAACAGCAGATTTGAAACTCTCTTTTTGTGGAATTTGCAAGTGGAGATTTCAGAGCTTTGAGGCCAATGGTAGAAAAGGAAATATCTTCGTATGCAAACTAGACAGAATCATTCTCAGAAACTACTTTGGTACGTGTGTGTTCAACTCACAGTGTTTAACCTTTCTTTTCATAGAGCAGTTTGGAAACACTCAGTTTGTAAAGTCAGCAACTGGATATTTGGATGTATTTGAGGCCTTCGTTGGAAACGGGATTTCTTCATATAATGCTAGACAGAAGAATTCTCAGTAACTTCTTTGGGTTGTGGGTATTCAAGTCACAGAGTTGAAGCTTCCTTTAGGCGGAGCAGATTGGAAACACTTTTTGTGGAATTTTCAGGGGGAGACTTCAAGCGCTTTGAAGTGAATGGTAGGAAAGGAAATATCTTCGTATAAAAACTAGACGGAGTCATTCTCAGAAACTACTTTGTGATGTTTGCGTTCAACTCACAGAGTTTAACGTTTCTTTTCATAGAGCAGTTTGGAAACACTCTTTTTGCAGAATCTGCAAGTGGATATTTGGACCTCTTTGTGGCCTTCGTTGGAAACGGGATTTTTCATATAATGCTAGACAGAAGAATTCTCAGTAACTTCTTTTTGTGGTGTGTATTCAACTCACAGAGTTGAACCTTCCTTTAGACAGAGCAGATTTGAAACTCTCTTTTTGTGGAATTTGCAAGTGGAGATTTCAAGCGCTTTGAGGCCAACGGCAGAAAAGGAAATATCTTCGTAGAAAAAATAGACGGAATCATTCTCAGAAACTGCTTTGGGATGTGTGCATTGAACTCACAGTGTTTAACACTTCTTTTCATAGAGCACTTTGGAAACACTCAGTTTGTAATGTCTGCAGCTGGATATTTGGACCTCTTTGAGGCCTTCGTAGTAAACGGGATTTCTTCGTGTAATGATAGACAATAGAATTCTCAGTGAATTTTTTTCTGTGTGTGTGTATTCAACTCACAGGGTTGAACCTTCCTTTAGACAGTGCAGATTTGAAACACTTGTCTGTGGAATTTGAAAGGGGAGATTTCAAGCACTTTGAGGCCATTGGTGGAAAAGGAAATATCTTCGTATGAAAACTAGACAGAATCATTCTCAGGAACTACTTTGTGATATGTGCATTCAACTCCCAGAGTTTAACCTTTCTTTTCATAGATGAGTTTGGAAACAGTCAGTTTGTAAATTCTGCAACTGGATATTTGGACCTCTTTGAGGCTTTCGTTGGAAACGGGATTTCTTCACATAATGCTAGACAGAAGAATTCTCAGTAACTTCTTTTGGGATGTATGTATTCAAATCAGAGAGTTGAACCTTCCTTTAGACAGAGCGGATTGGAAACACTCTTTTTGTGGAATTTGCAAGTGGAAAATTCTAGCAGTATGAGGCCAATGGTACAAAAGGAAATATCTTCGTATAAAAACTAGACAGTATCATTCTCAGAAACTGCTTTGTGATGTGTGTATTAAACTCACAGAGTTGAACATTTCTTTGCATAGAGCAGTTTGGAAAGACTTAGTTTGTGCAGTGTGCAAGTGGATATTTGGAACTCTTTGAGGCCTTCGTTGGAAACGGGATTTCTTCTTATAATTCTTGACAAAAGAATTCTCAGTAGCTTCTTTGTGTGTGTGTATTCAACTCACAGAGTTGAACCTTCCTTTAGACAGAGCAGATTGAAAACACTCTTTTTGTGGAATTTGCAAGTGGAGAATTCCTAGCGCTTTGACGCCAATGGTAGAAAGGAAATATCTTCGTATAAAAACTAGACAGTATCATTCTCAGGAAGCTACTTTGTGATGTGTGCGTTCAACTCACAGAGTTTAACCTTTCTTTTCATAGAGCAGTTTGGAAACCCTCTGTTTGTGAAGTCTGCAAGTGGATATTTAAACGTCTTTGAGGCCTTCGTTGGAAACGGGATTTTTTCATATAAACCAGGACAGAAGAATTCTCAGAAACTTCTTGATTGTTATGTGTGCATTCAACTCACAGAGTTGAACCTTACTTTGGAAAGAGCAGTTTTCTAACACTCTTTTTGTAAAAGTTCCAAGTGAATACTTTGAGTGCTTTGAAGCCTACGGTTGACAACGAAATATCTTCATGTAAAAACTACAAAGAATCATTCGCAGAAACCACGTTGTGATCTCTGCAGTCAACTCACAGAGTTCAACCTTTCTTCCTATAGAGCAGTTATGAAACAGTCTCTTTGTAGAATTTGCAAGGGTGTATTTAGAGGGCATTGAAGCCTACGGTAGAAAAGGAAATATCTTACCATAAAATCTAGTCAGAAGCATTCTCAGCAACTGAGTTGTGATGTTTCCATTCCACTCACAGAGTTCAACATTCCTTTTAATGGAGCGGTTTTGAAACACTCTTTTTGCAGAATCTGCAAGTGGATATTTGGACCTCTTTGAGGCCTTCGTTGGAAACGGGATTTCTTCATGTAATGCCAGACAGAAGAATTCTCAGTGAATTCTTTCTGTGTGTGTGTATTCAACTCACAGAGTTGAACGTTCCTTTAGACAGAGTAGATTGGAAACACTCTTTTTGTGGAATTTTCAGGTGGAGGTATCAAGCGCTTTGAGGCCAATGATAGAAAAGGAAATACCTTCGTATAATAATTAGACGGAATCATTCTCAGAAACTGCTTTGCAATGTGTGCGTTCAACTCACAGTGTTTAACCTTTCTTTTCATAGAGTTGTTTCGAAACACTCTTTTTGCAGAATCTGCAAGTGGATATTTGGACCTCTTTGAAGTCTTCGTTGGAAATGGGATTTCTTCATATAATGCTAGACAGAAGACTTCTCAGTAACTGCTTTTTCTGGTGTGTATTCAACTCTCAGAGTTGAACTTTCCTTTAGAAACAGCAGAGTTGAAACTCTCTTTTTGTGGAATTTGCAAGTGGAGATTTCAAAGCTTTGAGGCCAATGGTAGAAAAGGAAATATCTTCGTATGCAAACTAGACAGAATCATTCTCAGAAACTACTTTGGTACGTGTGTGTTCAACTCACAGTGTTTAACCTTTCTTTTCATAGAGCAGTTTGGAAACACTCAGTTTGTAAAGTCAGCAACTGGATATTTGGATGTATTTGAGGCCTTCGTTGGAAACGGGATTTCTTCATATAGTGCTAGACAGAAGAATTCTCAGTAACTTCTTTGGGTTGTGGGTATTCAAGTCACAGAGTTGAAGCTTCCTTTAGGCGGAGCAGATTGGAAACACTTTTTGTGGAATTTTCAGGGGGAGACTTCAAGCGCTTTGAAGTGAATGGTAGGAAAGGAAATATCTTCGTATAAAAACTAGACGGAGTCATTCTCAGAAACTACTTTGTGATGTTTGCGTTCAACTCACAGAGTTTAACGTTTCTTTTCATAGAGCAGTTTGGAAACACTCTTTTTGCAGAATCTGCAAGTGGATATTTGGACCTCTTTGTGGCCTTCGTTGGAAACGGGATTTTTCATATAATGCTAGACAGAAGAATTCTCAGTAACTTCTTTTTGTGGTGTGTATTCAACTCACAGAGTTGAACCTTCCTTTAGACAGAGCAGATTTGAAACTCTCTTTTTGTGGAATTTGCAAGTGGAGATTTCAAGCGCTTTGAGGCCAACGGCAGAAAAGGAAATATCTTCGTAGAAAAAATAGACGGAATCATTCTCAGAAACTGCTTTGGGATGTGTGCATTGAACTCACAGTGTTTAACACTTCTTTTCATAGAGCACTTTGGAAACACTCAGGTTGTAATGTCTGCAGCTGGATATTTGGACCTCTTTGAGGCCTTCGTAGTAAACGGGATTTCTTCGTGTAATGATAGACAATAGAATTCTCAGTGAATTTTTTTCTGTGTGTGTGTTTTCAACTCACAGGGTTGAACCTTCCTTCAGACAGTGCAGATTTGAAACACTTTTCTGTGGAATTTGCAAGGGGAGATTTCAAGCACTTTGAGGCCATTGGTGGAAAAGGAAATATCTTTGTATAAAAACTAGACAGAATCATTCTCAGGAACTACTTTGTGATATGTGCATTCAACTCCCAGAGTTTAACCTTTCTTTTCATAGATGAGTTTGGAAACAGTCAGTTTGTAAATTCTGCAACTGGATATTTGGACCTCTTTGAGGCTTTCGTTGGAAACGGGATTTCTTCACATAATGCTAGACAGAAGAATTCTCAGTAACTTCTTTTGGGATGTATGTATTCAAATCAGAGAGTTGAACCTTCCTTTAGACAGAGCGGATTGGAAACACTCTTTTTGTGGAATTTGCAAGTGGAAAATTCTAGCAGTATGAGGCCAATGGTACAAAAGGAAATATCTTCGTATAAAAACTAGACAGTAATCATTCTCAGAAACTGCTTTGTGATGTGTGTATTAAACTCACAGAGTTGAACATTTCTTTGCATAGAGCAGTTTGGAAAAACTTAGTTTGTACAGTGTGCAAGTGGATATTTGGAACTCTTTGAGGCCTTCGTTGGAAACGGGATTTCGTCTTATAATTCTTGACAAAAGAATTCTCAGTAGCTTCTTTGTGTGTGTGTATTCAACTCACAGAGTTGAACCTTCCTTTAGACAGAGCAGATTGGAAACACTCTTTTTGTGGAATTGGCAAGTGGAGAATTCTAGCGCTTTGACGCCAATGGTAGAAAGGAAATATCTTCGTATAAAAACTAGACAGTATCATTCTCAGAAGCTACTTTGTGATGTGCGCGTTCAACTCACAGAGTTTAACCTTTCTTTTCATAGAGCAGTTTGGAAACCCTCTGTTTGTGAAGTCTGCAAGTGGATATTTAAACGTCTTTGAGGCCTTCGTTGGTAACGGGATTTTTTCATATAAACCAGGACAGAAGAATTCTCAGAAACTTCTTGATTGTTATGTGTGCATTCAACTCACAGAGTTGAACCTTACTTTGGAAAGAGCAGTTTTCTAACACTCTTTTTGTAAAAGTTCCAAGTGAATACTTTGAGTGCTTTGAAGCCTACGGTTGACAACGAAATATCTTCATGTAAAAACTACAAAGAATCATTCGCAGAAACCACGTTGTGATCTCTGCATTCAACTCACAGAGTTCAACCTTTCTTCCTATAGAGCAGTTATGAAACAGTCTCTTTGTAGAATTTGCAAGGGTGTATTTAGAGGGCATTGAAGCCTACGGTAGAAAAGGAAATATCTTACCATAAAATCTAGTCAGAAGCATTCTCAGAAACTGAGTTGTGATGTTTGCATTCAACTCACAGAGTTCAACATTCCTTTTAATGGAGCGGTTTTGAAACACTCTTTTTGCAGAATCTGCAAGTGGATATTTGGACCTCTTTGAGGCCTTCGTTGGAAACGGGATTTCTTCATGTAATGCCAGACAGAAGAATTCTCAGTGAATTCTTTCTGTGTGTGTGTATTCAACTCACAGAGTTGAACGTTCCTTTAGACAGAGTAGATTGGAAACACTCTTTTTGTGGAATTTTCAGGTGGAGGTATCAAGCGCTTTGAGGCCAATGATAGAAAAGGAAATACCTTCGTATAATAATTAGACGGAATCATTCTCAGAAACCGCTTTGCAATGTGTGCGTTCAACTCACAGTGTTTAACCTTTCTTTTCATACAGTTGTTTCGAAACACTCTTTTTGCAGAATCTGCAAGTGGATATTTGGACCTCTTTGAAGTCTTCGTTGGAAATGGGATTTCTTCATATAATGCTAGACAGAAGACTTCTCAGTAACTGCTTTTTCTGGTGTGTATTCAACTCTCAGAGTTGAACTTTCCTTTAGAAACAGCAGATTTGAAACTCTCTTTTTGTGGAATTTGCAAGTGGAGATTTCAGAGCTTTGAGGCCAATGGTAGAAAAGGAAATATCTTCGTATGCAAACTAGACAGAATCATTCTCAGAAACTACTTTGGTACGTGTGTGTTCAACTCACAGTGTTTAACCTTTCTTTTCATAGAGCAGTTTGGAAACACTCAGTTTGTAAAGTCAGCAACTGGATATTTGGATGTATTTGAGGCCTTCGTTGGAAACGGGATTTCTTCATATAATGCTAGACAGAAGAATTCTCAGTAACTTCTTTGGGTTGTGGGTATTCAAGTCACAGAGTTGAAGCTTCCTTTAGGCGGAGCAGATTGGAAACACTTTTTGTGGAATTTTCAGGGGGAGACTTCAAGCGCTTTGAAGTGAATGGTAGGAAAGGAAATATCTTCGTATAAAAACTAGACGGAGTCATTCTCAGAAACTACTTTGTGATGTTTGCGTTCAACTCACAGAGTTTAACGTTTCTTTTCATAGAGCAGTTTGGAAACACTCTTTTTGCAGAATCTGCAAGTGGATATTTGGACCTCTTTGTGGCCTTCGTTGGAAACGGGATTTTTCATATAATGCTAGACAGAAGAATTCTCAGTAACTTCTTTTTGTGGTGTGTATTCAACTCACAGAGTTGAACCTTCCTTTAGACAGAGCAGATTTGAAACTCTCTTTTTGTGGAATTTGCAAGTGGAGATTTCAAGCGCTTTGAGGCCAACGGTAGAAAAGGAAATATCTTCGTAGAGAAAATAGACGGAATCATTCTCAGAAACTGCTTTGGGATGTGTGCATTGAACTCACAGTGTTTAACACTTCTTTTCATAGAGCACTTTGGAAATACTCAGTTTGTAATGTCTGCAGCTGGATATTTGGACCTCTTTGAGGCCTTCGTAGTAAACGGGATTTCTTCGTGTAATGATAGACAATAGAATTCTCAGTGAATTTTTTTCTGTGTGTGTGTATTCAACTCACAGGGTTGAACCTTCCTTTAGACAGTGCAGATTTGAAACACTTGTCTGTGGAATTTGCAAGGGGAGATTTCAAGCACTTTGAGGCCATTGGTGGAAAAGGAAATAACTTCGTATAAAAACTAGACAGAATCATTCTCAGGAACTACTTTGTGATATGTGCATTCAACTCACAGAGTTTAACCTTTCTTTTCATAGATGAGTTTGGAAAGAGTCAGTTTGTAAATTCTGCAACTGGATATTTGGACCTCTTTGAGGCTTTCGTTGGAAACGGGATTTCTTCACATAATGCTAGACAGAAGAATTCTCAGTAACTTCTTTTGGGATGTATGTATTCAACTCAGAGAGTTGAACCTTCCCTTAGACAGAGCGGATTGGAAACACGCTTTTTGTGGAATTTTCAGGTGGAGATTTCAATAACCTTGAGGCCAATGGTAGAAAAGGCTATCTTCGTATAAAAACTAGACGGAATCATTCTCAGAAACTGCTTTGTGATGTGTGCATTAAACTCACAGAGTTGAACATTTCTTTGCATAAAGCAGTTTGGAAAGACTTAGTTTGTACAGTGTGCAAGTGGATATTTGGAACTCTTTGAGGCCTTCGTTGGAAACGGGATTTCGTCTTATAATTCTTGACAAAAGAATTCTCAGTAGCTTCTTTGTGTGTGTGTATTCAACTCACAGAGTTGAACCGTCCTTTAGACAGAGCAGATTGGAAACACTCTTTTTGTGGAATTTGCAAGTGGAGAATTCTAGCGCTTTGACGCCAATGGTAGAAAGGAAATATCTTCGTATAAAAACTAGACAGTATCATTCTCAGAAACTACTTTGTGATGTGTGCGTTCAACTCACAGAGTTTAACCTTTCTTTTCATAGAGCAGTTTGGAAACACTCTGTTTGTGAAGTCTGCAAGTGGATATTTAAACGTCTTTGAGGCCTTCGTTGGAAACGGGATTTGTTCATATAAACCAGGACAGAAGAATTCTCAGAAACTTCTTGATTGTTATGTGTGCATTCAACTCACAGAGTAGAACCTTACTTTGGAAAGAGCAGTTTTCTAACACTCTTTTTGTAAAAATTCCAAGTGAATACATTGAGTGCTTTGAAGCCTACGGTTGACAACGAAATATCTTCATGTAAAAACTACAAAGAATCATTCGCAGAAACCACGTTGTGATCTCTGCATTCCACTCACAGAGTTCAACCTTTCTTCCTATAGAGCAGTTATGAAACAGTCTCTTTGTAGAATTTGCAAGGGTGTATTTAGAGGGCATTGAAGCCTACGGTAGAAAAGGAAATATCTTACCATAAAATCTAGTCAGAAGCATTCTCAGAAACTGAGTTGTGATGTTTGCATTCAACTCACAGAGTTCAACATTCCTTTTAATGGAGCGGTTTTGAAACACTCTTTTTGCAGAATCTGCAAGTGGATATTTGGACCTCTTTGAGGCCTTCGTTGGAAACGGGATTTCTTCATGTAATGCCAGACAGAAGAATTCTCAGTGAATTCTTTCTGTGTGTGTGTATTCAACTCACAGAGTTGAACGTTCCTTTAGACAGAGTAGATTGGAAACACTCTTTTTGTGGAATTTTCAGGTGGAGGTATCAAGCGCTTTGAGGCCAATGATAGAAAAGGAAATACCTTCGTATAATAATTAGACGGAATCATTCTCAGAAACCGCTTTGCAATGTGTGCGTTCAACTCACAGTGTTTAACCTTTCTTTTCATACAGTTGTTTCGAAACACTCTTTTTGCAGAATCTGCAAGTGGATATTTGGACCTCTTTGAGGCCTTCGTTGGAAACGGGATTTCTTCATGTAATGCCAGACAGAAGACTTCTCAGTAACTGCTTTTTCTGGTGTGTATTCAACTCTCAGAGTTGAACTTTCCTTTAGAAACAGCAGAGTTGAAACTCTCTTTTTGTGGAATTTGCAAGTGGAGATTTCAAAGCTTTGAGGCCAATGGTAGAAAAGGAAATATCTTCGTATGCAAACTAGACAGAATCATTCTCAGAAACTACTTTGGTACGTGTGTGTTCAACTCACAGTGTTTAACCTTTCTTTTCATAGAGCAGTTTGGAAACACTCAGTTTGTAAAGTCAGCAACTGGATATTTGGATGTATTTGAGGCCTTCGTTGGAAACGGGATTTACTTCATATAGTGCTAGACAGAAGAATTCTCAGTAACTTCTTTGGGTTGTGAGTATTCAACTCACAGAGTTGAAGCTTCCTTTAGGCGGAGCAGATTGGAAACACTTTTTGTGGAATTTTCAGGGGGAGACTTCAAGCGCTTTGAAGTGAATGGTAGGAAAGGAAATATCTTCGTATAAAAACTAGACGGAGTCATTCTCAGAAACTACTTTGTGATGTTTGCGTTCAACTCACAGAGTTTAACGTTTCTTTTCATAGAGCAGTTTGGAAACACTCTTTTTGCAGAATCTGCAAGTGGATATTTGGACCTCTTTGTGGCCTTCGTTGGAAACGGGATTTTTCATATAATGCTAGACAGAAGAATTCTCAGTAACTTCTTTTTGTGGTGTGTATTCAACTCACAGAGTTGAACCTTCCTTTAGACAGAGCAGATTTGAAACTCTCTTTTTGTGGAATTTGCAAGTGGAGATTTCAAGCGCTTTGAGGCCAACGGTAGAAAAGGAAATATCTTCGTAGAAAAAATAGACGGAATCATTCTCAGAAACTGCTTTGAGATGTGTGCATTGAACTCACAGTGTTTAACACTTCTTTTCATAGAGCACTTTGGAAACACTCAGTTTGTAATGTCTGCAGCTGGATATTTGGACCTCTTTGAGGCCTTCGTAGTAAACGGGATTTCTTCGTGTAATGATAGACAATAGAATTCTCAGTGAATTTTTTTCTGTGTGTGTGTATTCAACTCACAGGGTTGAACCTTCCTTTAGACAGTGCAGATTTGAGACACTTGTCTGTGGAATTTGCAAGGGGAGATTTCAAGCACTTTGAGGCCATTGGTGGAAAAGGAAATATCTTCGTATGAAAACTAGACAGAATCATTCTCAGGAACTACTTTGTGATATGTGCATTCAACTCCCAGAGTTTAACCTTTCTTTTCATAGATGAGTTTGGAAACAGTCAGTTTGTAAATTCTGCAACTGGATATTTGGACCTCTTTGAGGCTTTCGTTGGAAACGGGATTTCTTCACATAATGCTAGACAGAAGAATTCTCAGGAACTTCTTTTGGGATGTATGTATTCAAATCAGAGAGTTGAACCTTCCTTTAGACAGAGCGGATTGGAAACACTCTTTTTGTGGAATTTGCAAGTGGAAAATTCTAGCAGTATGAGGCCAATGGTACAAAAGGAAATATCTTTCGTATAAAAACTAGACAGTAATCATTCTCAGAAACTGCTTTGTGATGTGTGTATTAAACTCACAGAGTTGAACATTTCTTTGCATAGAGCAGTTTGGAAAGACTTAGTTTGTGCAGTGTGCAAGTGGATATTTGGAACTCTTTGAGGCCTTCGTTGGAAACGGGATTTCTTCTTATAATTCTTGACAAAAGAATTCTCAGTAGCTTCTTTGTGTGTGTGTGTATTCAACTCACAGAGTTGAACCTTCCTTTAGACAGAGCAGATTGGAAACACTCTTTTTGTGGAATTTGCAAGTGGAGAATTCTAGCGCTTTGACGCCAATGGTAGAAAGGAAATATCTTCGTATAAAAACTAGACAGTTATCATTCTCAGAAACTACTTTGTGATGTGTGCGTTCAACTCACAGAGTTTAACCTTTCTTTTCATAGAGCAGTTTGGAAACACTCTGTTTGTGAAGTCTGCAGGTATATATTTAAACGTGCTTTGAGGCCTTCGTTGGAAACGGGATTTGTTCATATAAACCAGGACAGAAGAATTCTCAGAAACTTCTTGATTGTTATGTGTGCATTCAACTCACAGAGTTGAACCTTACTTTGGAAAGAGCAGTTTTCTAACACTCTTTTTGTAAAAGTTCCAAGTGAATACTTTGAGTGCTTTGAAGCCTACGGTTGACAACGAAATATCTTCATGTAAAAACTACAAAGAATCATTCGCAGAAACCACGTTGTGATCTCTGCATTCAACTCACAGAGTTGAACCTTTCCTCCTATAGAGCAGTTATGAAACAGTCTCTTTGTAGAATTTGCAAGGGTGTATTTAGAGGGCATTGAAGCCTACGGTAGAAAAGGAAATATCTTACCATAAAATCTAGTCAGAAGCATTCTCAGAAACTGAGTTGTGATGTTTGCATTCAACTCACAGAGTTCAACATTCCTTTTAATGGAGCGGTTTTGAAACACTCTTTTTGCAGAATCTGCAAGTGGATATTTGGACCTCTTTGAGGCCTTCGTTGGAAACGGGATTTCTTCATGTAATGCCAGACAGAAGAATTCTCAGTGAATTCTTTCTGTGTGTGTGTATTCAACTCACAGAGTTGAACGTTCCTTTAGACAGAGTAGATTGGAAACACTCTTTTTGTGGAATTTTCAGGTGGAGGTATCAAGCGCTTTGAGGCCAATGATAGAAAAGGAAATACCTTCGTATAATAATTAGACGGAATCATTCTCAGAAACTGCTTTGCAATGTGTGCGTTCAACTCACAGTGTTTAACCTTTCTTTTCATACAGTTGTTTCGAAACACTCTTTTTGCAGAATCTGCAAGTGGATATTTGGACCTCTTTGAAGTCTTCGTTGGAAATGGGATTTCTTCATATAATGCTAGACAGAAGACTTCTCAGTAACTGCTTTTTCTGGTGTGTATTCTACTCTCAGAGTTGAACTTTCCTTTAGAAACAGCAGATTTGAAACTCTCTTTTTGTGGAATTTGCAAGTGGAGATTTCAGAGCTTTGAGGCCAATGGTAGAAAAGGAAATATCTTCGTATGCAAACTAGACAGAATCATTCTCAGAAACTACTTTGGTACGTGTGTGTTCAACTCACAGTGTTTAACCTTTCTTTTCATAGAGCAGTTTGGAAACACTCAGTTTGTAAAGTCAGCAACTGGATATTTGGATGTATTTGAGGCCTTCGTTGGAAACGGGATTTCTTCATATAATGCTAGACAGAAGAATTCTCAGTAACTTCTTTGGGTTGTGGGTATTCAAGTCACAGAGTTGAAGCTTCCTTTAGGCGGAGCAGATTGGAAACACTTTTTGTGGAATTTTCAGGGGGAGACTTCAAGCGCTTTGAAGTGAATGGTAGGAAAGGAAATATCTTCGTATAAAAACTAGACGGAGTCATTCTCAGAAACTACTTTGTGATGTTTGCGTTCAACTCACAGAGTTTAACGTTTCTTTTCATAGAGCAGTTTGGAAACACTCTTTTTGCAGAATCTGCAAGTGGATATTTGGACCTCTTTGTGGCCTTCGTTGGAAACGGGATTTTTCATATAATGCTAGACAGAAGAATTCTCAGTAACTTCTTTTTGTGGTGTGTATTCAACTCACAGAGTTGAACCTTCCTTTAGACAGAGCAGATTTGAAACTCTCTTTTTGTGGAATTTGCAAGTGGAGATTTCAAGCGCTTTGAGGCCAACGGCAGAAAAGGAAATATCTTCGTAGAGAAAATAGACGGAATCATTCTCAGAAACTGCTTTGGGATGTGTGCATTGAACTCAAAGTGTTTAACCCTTCTTTTCATAGAGCACTTTGGAAACACTCAGTTTGTGATGTCTGCAGCTGGATATTTGGACCTCTTTGAGGCCTTCGTAGTAAACGGGATTTCTTCGTGTAATGATAGACAATAGAATTCTCAGTGAATTTTTTTCTGTGTGTGTGTATTCAACTCACAGGGTTGAACCTTCCTTCAGACAGTGCAGATTTGAAACACTTGTCTGTGGAATTTGCAAGGGGAGATTTCAAGCACTTTGAGGCCATTGGTGGAAAAGGAAATATCTTCGTATAAAAACTAGACAGAATCATTCTCAGGAACTACTTTGTGATATGTGCATTCAACTCCCAGAGTTTAACCTTTCTTTTCATAGATGAGTTTGGAAACAGTCAGTTTGTAAATTCTGCAACTGGATATTTGGACCTCTTTGAGGCTTTCGTTGGAAACGGGATTTCTTCACATAATGCTAGACATAAGAATTCTCAGTAACTTCTTTTGGGATGTATGTATTCAAATCAGAGGGTTGAACCTTCCTTTAGACAGAGCGGATTGGAAACACTCTTTTTGTGGAATTTGCAAGTGGAAAATTCTAGCAGTATGAGGCCAATGGTACAAAAGGAAATATCTTCGTATAAAAACTAGACAGTAATCATTCTCAGTAAACTGCTTTGTGATGTGTGCATTAAACTCACAGAGTTGAACATTTCTTTGCATAGAGCAGTTTGGAAAGACTTAGTTTGTACAGTGTGCAAGTGGATATTTGGAACTCTTTGAGGCCTTCGTTGGAAACGGGATTTCTTCTTATAATTCTTGACAAAAGAATTCTCAGTAGCTTCTTTGTGTGTGTGTATTCAACTCACAGAGTTGAACCTTCCTTTAGACAGAGCAGATTGGAAACACTCTTTTTGTGGAATTTGCAAGTGGAGAATTCTAGCGCTTTGACGCCAATGGTAGAAAGGAAATATCTTCGTATAAAAACTAGACAGTATCATTCTCAGAAGCTACTTTGTGATGTGTGCGTTCAACTCACAGAGTTTAACCTTTCTTTTCATAGAGCAGTTTGGAAACCCTCTGTTTGTGAAGTCTGCAAGTGGATATTTAAACGTCTTTGAGGCCTTCGTTGGAAACGGGATTTTTTCATATAAACCAGGACAGAAGAATTCTCAGAAACTTCTTGATTGTTATGTGTGCATTCAACTCACAGAGTTGAACCTTACTTTGGAAAGAGCAGTTTTCTAACACTCTTTTTGTAAAAGTTCCAAGTGAATACTTTGAGTGCTTTGAAGCCTACGGTTGACAACGAAATATCTTCATGTAAAAACTACAAAGAATCATTCGCAGAAACCACGTTGTGATCTCTGCATTCAACTCACAGAGTTGAACCTTTCTTCCTATAGAGCAGTTATGAAACAGTCTCTTTGTAGAATTTGCAAGGGTGTATTTAGAGGGCATTGAAGCCTACGGTATAAAAGGAAATATCTTACCATAAAATCTAGTCAGAAGCATTCTCAGCAACTGAGTTGTGATGTTTGCATTCAACTCACAGAGTTCAACATTCCTTTTAATGGAGCGGTTTTGAAACACTCTTTTTGCAGAATCTGCAAGTGGATATTTGGACCTCTTTGAGGCCTTCGTTGGAAACGGGATTTCTTCATGTAATGCCAGACAGAAGAATTCTCAGTGAATTCTTTCTGTGTGTGTGTATTCAACTCACAGAGTTGAACGTTCCTTTAGACAGAGTAGATTGGAAACACTCTTTTTGTGGAATTTTCAGGTGGAGGTATCAAGCGCTTTGAGGCCAATGATAGAAAAGGAAATACCTTCGTATAATAATTAGACGGAATCATTCTCAGAAACCGCTTTGCAATGTGTGCGTTCAACTCACAGTGTTTAACCTTTCTTTTCATACAGTTGTTTCGAAACACTCTTTTTGCAGAATCTGCAAGTGGATATTTGGACCTCTTTGAAGTCTTCGTTGGAAATGGGATTTCTTCATATAATGCTAGACAGAAGACTTCTCAGTAACTGCTTTTTCTGGTGTGTATTCAACTCTCAGAGTTGAACTTTCCTTTAGAAACAGCAGATTTGAAACTCTCTTTTTGTGGAATTTGCAAGTGGAGATTTCAGAGCTTTGAGGCCAATGGTAGAAAAGGAAATATCTTCGTATGCAAACTAGACAGAATCATTCTCAGAAACTACTTTGGTACGTGTGTGTTCAACTCACAGTGTTTAACCTTTCTTTTCATAGAGCAGTTTGGAAACACTCAGTTTGTAAAGTCAGCAACTGGATATTTGGATGTATTTGAGGCCTTCGTTGGAAACGGGATTTCTTCATATAGTGCTAGACAGAAGAATTCTCAGTAACTTCTTTGGGTTGTGGGTATTCAAGTCACAGAGTTGAAGCTTCCTTTAGGCGGAGCAGATTGGAAACACTTTTTGTGGAATTTTCAGGGGGAGACTTCAAGCGCTTTGAAGTGAATGGTAGGAAAGGAAATATCTTCGTATAAAAACTAGACGGAGTCATTCTCAGAAACTACTTTGTGATGTTTGCGTTCAACTCACAGAGTTTAACGTTTCTTTTCATAGAGCAGTTTGGAAACACTCTTTTTGCAGAATCTGCAAGTGGATATTTGGACCTCTTTGTGGCCTTCGTTGGAAACGGGATTTTTCATATAATGCTAGACAGAAGAATTCTCAGTAACTTCTTTTTGTGGTGTGTATTCAACTCACAGAGTTGAACCTTCCTTTAGACAGAGCAGATTTGAAACTCTCTTTTTGTGGAATTTGCAAGTGGAGATTTCAAGCGCTTTGAGGCCAACGGCAGAAAAGGAAATATCTTCGTAGAAAAAATAGACGGCATCATTCTCAGAAACTGCTTTGGGATGTGTGCATTGAACTCACAGTGTTTAACACTTGCTTTTCATAGAGCACTTTGGAAACACTCAGTTTGTAATGTCTGCAGCTGGATATTTGGACCTCTTTGAGGCCTTCGTAGTAAACGGGATTTCTTCGTGTAATGATAGACAATAGAATTCTCAGTGAATTTTTTTCTGTGTGTGTGTATTCAACTCACAGGGTTGAACCTTCCTTTAGACAGTGCAGATTTGAAACACTTGTCTGTGGAATTTGCAAGGGGAGATTTCAAGCACTTTGAGGCCATTGGTGGAAAAGGAAATATCTTCGTATAAAAACTAGACAGAATCATTCTCAGGAACTACTTTGTGATATGTGCATTCAACTCACAGAGTTTAACCTTTCTTTTCATAGATGAGTTTGGAAACAGTCAGTTTGTAAATTCTGCCACTGGATATTTGGACCTCTTTGAGGCTTTCGTTGGAAACGGGATTTCTTCACATAATGCTAGACAGAAGAATTCTCAGTAACTTCTTTTGGGATGTATGTATTCAAATCAGAGAGTTGAACCTTCCTTTAGACAGAGCGGATTGGAAACACTCTTTTTGTGGAATTTGCAAGTGGAAAATTCTAGCAGTATGAGGCCAATGGTACAAAAGGAAATATCTTCGTATAAAAACTAGACAGTATCATTCTCAGAAACTGCTTTGTGATGTGTGTATTAAACTCACAGAGTTGAACATTTCTTTGCATAGAGCAGTTTGGAAAGACTTAGTTTGTGCAGTGTGCAAGTGGATATTTGGAACTCTTTGAGGCCTTCGTTGGAAACGGGATTTCTTCTTATAATTCTTGACAAAAGAATTCTCAGTAGCTTCTTTGTGTGTGTGTATTCAACTCACAGAGTTGAACCTTCCTTTAGACAGAGCAGATTGGAAACACTCTTTTTGTGGAATTTGCAAGTGGAGAATTCTAGCGCTTTGACGCCAATGGTAGAAAGGAAATATCTTCGTATGCAAACTAGACAGTATCATTCTCAGAAGCTACTTTGTGATGTGTGCGTTCAACTCACAGAGTTTAACCTTTCTTTTCATAAAGCAGTTTGGAAACCCTCTGTTTGTGAAGTCTGCAAGTGGATATTTAAACGTCTTTGAGGGCCTTCGTTGGAAACGGGATTTTTTCATATAAACCAGGACAGAAGAATTCTCAGAAACTTCTTGATTGTTATGTGTGCATTCAACTCACAGAGTTGAACCTTACTTTGGAAAGAGCAGTTTTCTAACACTCTTTTTGTAAAAGTTCCAAGTGAATACTTTGAGTGCTTTGAAGCCTACGGTTGACAACGAAATATCTTCATGTAAAAACTACAAAGAATCATTCGCAGAAACCACGTTGTGATCTCTGCATTCAACTCACAGTGTTGAACCTTTCTTCCTATAGAGCAGTTATGAAACAGTCTCTTTGTAGAATTTGCAAGGGTGTATTTAGAGGGCATTGAAGCCTACAGTAGAAAAGGAAATATCTTACCATAAAATCTAGTCAGAAGCATTCTCAGAAACTGAGTTGTGATGTTTGCATTCAACTCACAGAGTTCAACATTCCTTTTAATGGAGCGGTTTTGAAACACTCTTTTTGCAGAATCTGCAAGTGGATATTTGGACCTCTTTGAGGCCTTCGTTGGAAACGGGATTTCTTCATGTAATGCCAGACAGAAGAATTCTCAGTGAATTCTTTCTGTGTGTGTGTATTCAACTCACAGAGTTGAACGTTCCTTTAGACAGAGTAGATTGGAAACACTCTTTTTGTGGAATTTTCAGGTGGAGGTATCAAGCGCTTTGAGACCAATGATAGAAAAGGAAATACCTTCGTATAATAATTAGACGGAATCATTCTCAGAAACTGCTTTGCAATGTGTGCGTTCAACTCACAGTGTTTAACCTTTCTTTTCATACAGTTGTTTCGAAACACTCTTTTTGCAGAATCTGCAAGTGGATATTTGGACCTCTTTGAAGTCTTCGTTGGAAATGGGATTTCTTCATATAATGCTAGACAGAAGACTTCTCAGTAACTGCTTTTTCTGGTGTGTATTCAACTCTCAGAGTTGAACTTTCCTTTAGAAACAGCAGATTTGAAACTCTCTTTTTGTGGAATTTGTAAGTGGAGATTTCAGAGCTTTGAGGCCAATGGTAGAAAAGGAAATATCTTCGTATGCAAACTAGATAGAATCATTCTCAGAAACTACTTTGGTACGTGTGTGTTCAACTCACAGTGTTTAACCTTTCTTTTCATAGAGCAGTTTGGAAACACTCAGTTTGTAAAGTCAGCAACTGGATATTTGGATGTATTTGAGGCCTTCGTTGGAAACGGGATTTCTTCATATAATGCTAGACAGAAGAATTCTCAGTAACTTCTTTGTGGTCTGGGTATTCAACTCACAGAGTTGAAGCTTCCTTTAGGCGGAGCCGATTGGAAACACTCTTTTAGTGCAATTTTCAGGGGGAGACTTCAAGCGCTTTGAAGTGAATGGTAGAAAAGGAAATATCTTCGTATAAAAACTAGACGGAAGTCATTCTCAGAAACTACTTTGTGATGTTTGCGTTCAACTCACAGTAGTTTAACGTTTCTTTTCATAGAGCAGTTTGGAAACACTCTTTTTGCAGAATCTGCAAGTGGATATTTAGACCTCTTTGTGGCCTTCGTTGGAAACGGGATTTTTCATATAATGCTAGACAGAAGAATTCTCAGTAACTTCTTTTTGTGGTGTGTATTCAACTCACAGAGTTGAACCTTCCTTTAGACAGAGCAGATTTGAAACTCTCTTTTTGTGGAATTTGCAAGTGGAGATTTCAAGCGCTTTGAGGCCAACGGCAGAAAAGGAAATATCTTCGTAGAAAAAATAGACGGAATCATTCTCAGAAACTGCTTTGGGATGTGTGCATTGAACTCACAGTGTTTAACACTTCTTTTCATAGAGCACTTTGGAAACACTCAGTTTGTAATGTCTGCAGCTGGATATTTGGACCTCTTTGAGGCCTTCGTAGTAAACGGGATTTCTTCGTGTAATGATAGACAATAGAATTCTCAGTGAATTTTTTTCTGTGTGTGTGTATTCAACTCACAGGGTTGAACCTTCCTTTAGACAGTGCAGATTTGAAACACTTGTCTGTGGAATTTGCAAGGGGAGATTTCAAGCACTTTGAGGCCATTGGTGGAAAAGGAAATATCTTCGTATGAAAACTAGACAGAATCATTCTCAGGAACTACTTTGTGATATGTGCATTCAACTCCCAGAGTTTAACCTTTCTTTTCATAGATGAGTTTGGAAACAGTCAGTTTGTAAATTCTGCAACTGGATATTTGGACCTCTTTGAGGCTTTCGTTGGAAACGGGATTTCTTCACATAATGCTAGACAGAAGAATTCTCAGTAACTTCTTTTGGGATGTATGTATTCAAATCAGAGAGTTGAACCTTCCTTTAGACAGAGCGGATTGGAAACACTCTTTTTGTGGAATTTGCAAGTGGAAAATTCTAGCAGTATGAGGCCAATGGTACAAAAGGAAATATCTTCGTATAAAAACTAGACAGTATCATTCTCAGAAACTGCTTTGTGATGTGTGTATTAAACTCACAGAGTTTAACCTTTCTTTTCATAGAGCAGTTTGGAAACCCTCTGTTTGTGAAGTCTGCAAGTGGATATTTAAACGTCTTTGAGGCCTTCGTTGGAAACGGGATTTTTTCATATAAACCAGGACAGAAGAATTCTCAGAAACTTCTTGATTGTTATGTGTGCATTCAACTCACAGAGTTGAACCTTACTTTGGAAAGAGCAGTTTTCTAACACTCTTTTTGTAAAAGTTCCAAGTGAATACTTTGAGTGCTTTGAAGCCTACGGTTGACAACGAAATATCTTCATGTAAAAACTACAAAGAATCATTCGCAGAAACCACGTTGTGATCTCTGCATTCAACTCACAGTGTTGAACCTTTCTTCCTATAGAGCAGTTATGAAACAGTCTCTTTGTAGAATTTGCAAGGGTGTATTTAGAGGGCATTGAAGCCTACGGTAGAAAAGGAAATATCTTACCATAAAATCTAGTCAGAAGCATTCTCAGAAACTGAGTTGTGATGTTTGCATTCAACTCACAGAGTTCAACATTCCTTTTAATGGAGCGGTTTTGAAACACTCTTTTTGCAGAATCTGCAAGTGGATATTTGGACCTCTTTGAGGCCTTCGTTGGAAACGGGATTTCTTCATGTAATGCCAGACAGAAGAATTCTCAGTGAATTCTTTCTGTGTGTGTGTATTCAACTCACAGAGTTGAACGTTCCTTTAGACAGAGTAGATTGGAAACACTCTTTTTGTGGAATTTTCAGGTGGAGGTATCAAGCGCTTTGAGACCAATGATAGAAAAGGAAATACCTTCGTATAATAATTAGACGGAATCATTCTCAGAAACTGCTTTGCAATGTGTGCGTTCAACTCACAGTGTTTAACCTTTCTTTTCATACAGTTGTTTCGAAACACTCTTTTTGCAGAATCTGCAAGTGGATATTTGGACCTCTTTGAAGTCTTCGTTGGAATTGGGATTTCTTCATATAATGCTAGACAGAAGACTTCTCAGTAACTGCTTTTTCTGGTGTGTATTCAACTCTCAGAGTTGAACTTTCCTTTAGAAACAGCAGATTTGAAACTCTCTTTTTGTGGAATTTGCAAGTGGAGATTTCAGAGCTTTGAGGCCAACGGTAGAAAAGGAAATATCTTCGTATGCAAACTAGACAGAATCATTCTCAGAAACTACTTTGGTACGTGTGTGTTCAACTCACAGTGTTTAACCTTTCTTTTCATAGAGCAGTTTGGAAACACTCAGTTTGTAAAGTCAGCAACTGGATATTTGGATGTATTTGAGGCCTTCGTTGGAAACGGGATTTCTTCATATAATGCTAGACAGAAGAATTCTCAGTAACTTCTTTGGGTTGTGGGTATTCAAGTCACAGAGTTGAAGCTTCCTTTAGGCGGAGCAGATTGGAAACACTTTTTGTGGAATTTTCAGGGGGAGACTTCAAGCGCTTTGAAGTGAATGGTAGGAAAGGAAATATCTTCGTATAAAAACTAGACGGAGTCATTCTCAGAAACTACTTTGTGATGTTTGCGTTCAACTCACAGAGTTTAACGTTTCTTTTCATAGAGCAGTTTGGAAACACTCTTTTTGCAGAATCTGCAAGTGGATATTTGGACCTCTTTGTGGCCTTCGTTGGAAACGGGATTTTTCATATAATGCTAGACAGAAGAATTCTCAGTAACTTCTTTTTGTGGTGTGTATTCAACTCACAGAGTTGAACCTTCCTTTAGACAGAGCAGATTTGAAACTCTCTTTTTGTGGAATTTGCAAGTGGAGATTTCAAGCGCTTTGAGGCCAACGGCAGAAAAGGAAATATCTTCGTAGAAAAAATAGACGGAATCATTCTCAGAAACTGCTTTGGGATGTGTGCATTGAACTCACAGTGTTTAACACTTCTTTTCATAGAGCACTTTGGAAACACTCAGTTTGTAATGTCTGCAGCTGGATATTTGGACCTCTTTGAGGCCTTCGTAGTAAACGGGATTTCTTCGTGTAATGATAGACAATAGAATTCTCAGTGAATTTTTTTCTGTGTGTGTGTATTCAACTCACAGGGTTGAACCTTCCTTTAGACAGTGCAGATTTGAAACACTTGTCTGTGGAATTTGCAAGGGGAGATTTCAAGCACTTTGAGGCCATTGGTGGAAAAGGAAATATCTTCGTATAAAAACTAGACAGAATCATTCTCAGGAACTACTTTGTGATATGTGCATTCAACTCACAGAGTTTAACCTTTCTTTTCATAGATGAGTTTGGAAACAGTCAGTTTGTAAATTCTGCAACTGGATATTTGGACCTCTTTGAGGCTTTCGTTGGAAACGGGATTTCTTCACATAATGCTAGACAGAAGAATTCTCAGTAACTTCTTTTGGGATGTATGTATTCAAATCAGAGAGTTGAACCTTCCTTTAGACAGAGCGGATTGGAAACACTCTTTTTGTGGAATTTGCAAGTGGAAAATTCTAGCAGTATGAGGCCAATGGTACAAAAGGAAATATCTTCGTATAAAAACTAGACAGTTATCATTCTCAGAAACTGCTTTGTGATGTGTGTATTAAACTCACAGCAGTTGAACATTTCTTTGCATAGAGCAGTTTGGAAAGACTTAGTTTGTGCAGTGTGCAAGTGGATATTTGGAACTCTTTGAGGCCTTCGTTGGAAACGGGATTTCTTCTTATAATTCTTGACAAAAGAATTCTCAGTAGCTTCTTTGTGTGTGTGTATTCAACTCACAGAGTTGAACCTTCCTTTAGACAGAGCAGATTGGAAACACTCTTTTTGTGGAATTTGC
The DNA here is from genome assembly GCF_000001405.40 of Homo sapiens. Taxonomy (NCBI): domain Eukaryota; kingdom Metazoa; phylum Chordata; class Mammalia; order Primates; family Hominidae; genus Homo; species Homo sapiens. The sequence goes on from NC_000003.12 coordinate 91,662,904, forward strand.
AAGTGGAGAATTCTAGCGCTTTGACGCCAATGGTAGAAAGGAAATATCTTCGTATAAAAACTAGACAGTATCATTCTCAGAAGCTACTTTGTGATGTGTGCGTTCAACTCACAGAGTTTAACCTTTCTTTTCATAGAGCAGTTTGGAAACCCTCTGTTTGTGAAGTCTGCAAGTGGATATTTAAACGTCTTTGAGGCCTTCGTTGGAAACGGGATTTTTTCATATAAACCAGGACAGAAGAATTCTCAGAAACTTCTTGATTGTTATGTGTGCATTCAACTCACAGAGTTGAACCTTACTTTGGAAAGAGCAGTTTTCTAACACTCTTTTTGTAAAAGTTCCAAGTGAATACTTTGAGTGCTTTGAAGCCTACGGTTGACAACGAAATATCTTCATGTAAAAACTACAAAGAGATCATTCGCAGAAACCACGTTGTGATCTCTGCGTTCAACTCACAGAGTTCAACCTTTCTTCCTATAGAGCAATTATTAAACAGTCTCTTTGTAGAATTTGCAAGGGTGTATTTAGAGGGCATTGAGGCCTACGGTAGAAAAGGAAATATCTGACCATAAAATCTAGTCAGAAGCATTCTCAGAAACTGAGTTGTGATGTTTGCATTCAACTCACAGAGTTCAACATTCCTTTTAATGGAGCGGTTTTGAAACACTCTTTTTGCAGAATCTGCAAGTGGATATTTGGACCTCTTTGAGGCCTTCGTTGGAAACGGGATTTCTTCATGTAATGCCAGACAGAAGAATTCTCAGTGAATTCTTTCTGTGTGTGTGTATTCAACTCACAGAGTTGAACGTTCCTTTAGACAGAGTAGATTGGAAACACTCTTTTTGTGGAATTTTCAGGTGGAGGTATCAAGCGCTTTGAGGCCAATGATAGAAAAGGAAATACCTTCGTATAATAATTAGACGGAATCATTCTCAGAAACCGCTTTGCAATGTGTGCGTTCAACTCACAGTGTTTAACCTTTCTTTTCATACAGTTGTTTCGAAACACTCTTTTTGCAGAATCTGCAAGTGGATATTTGGACCTCTTTGAAGTCTTCGTTGGAAATGGGATTTCTTCATATAATGCTAGACAGAAGACTTCTCAGTAACTGCTTTTTCTGGTGTGTATTCAACTCTCAGAGTTGAACTTTCCTTTAGAAACAGCAGATTTGAAACTCTCTTTTTGTGGAATTTGCAAGTGGAGATTTCAGAGCTTTGAGGCCAATGGTAGAAAAGGAAATATCTTCGTATGCAAACTAGACAGAATCATTCTCAGAAACTACTTTGGTACGTGTGTGTTCAACTCACAGTGTTTAACCTTTCTTTTCATAGAGCAGTTTGGAAACACTCAGTTTGTAAAGTCAGCAACTGGATATTTGGATGTATTTGAGGCCTTCGTTGGAAACGGGATTTCTTCATATAATGCTAGACAGAAGAATTCTCAGTAACTTCTTTGGGTTGTGGGTATTCAACTCACAGAGTTGAAGCTTCCTTTAGGCGGAGCAGATTGGAAACACTTTTTGTGGAATTTTCAGGGGGAGACGTCAAGCGCTTTGAAGTGAATGGTAGGAAAGGAAATATCTTCGTATAAAAACTAGACGGAGTCATTCTCAGAAACTACTTTGTGATGTTTGCGTTCAACTCACAGAGTTTAACGTTTCTTTTCATAGAGCAGTTTGGAAACACTCTTTTTGCAGAATCTGCAAGTGGATATTTGGACCTCTTTGTGGCCTTCGTTGGAAACGGGATTTTTCATATAATGCTAGACAGAAGAATTCTCAGTAACTTCTTTTTGTGGTGTGTATTCAACTCACAGAGTTGAACCTTCCTTTAGACAGAGCAGATTTGAAACTCTCTTTTTGTGGAATTTGCAAGTGGAGATTTCAAGCGCTTTGAGGCCAACGGCAGAAAAGGAAATATCTTCGTAGAAAAAATAGACGGAATCATTCTCAGAAACTGCTTTGGGATGTGTGCATTGAACTCACAGTGTTTAACACTTCTTTTCATAGAGCACTTTGGAAACACTCAGTTTGAAATGTCTGCAGCTGGATATTTGGACCTCTTTGAGGCCTTCGTAGTAAACGGGATTTCTTCGTGTAATGATAGACAATAGAATTCTCAGTGAATTTTTTTCTGTGTGTGTGTATTCAACTCACAGGGTTGAACCTTCCTTTAGACAGTGCAGATTTGAAACACTTGTCTGTGGAATTTGCAAGGGGAGATTTCAAGCACTTTGAGGCCATTGGTGGAAAAGGAAATATCTTCGTATGAAAACTAGACAGAATCATTCTCAGGAACTACTTTGTGATATGTGCATTCAACTCCCAGAGTTTAACCTTTCTTTTCATAGATGAGTTTGGAAACAGTCAGTTTGTAAATTCTGCAACTGGATATTTGGACCTCTTTGAGGCTTTCGTTGGAAACGGGATTTCTTCACATAATGCTAGACAGAAGAATTCTCAGGAACTTCTTTTGGGATGTATGTATTCAAATCAGAGAGTTGAACCTTCCTTTAGACAGAGCGGATTGGAAACACTCTTTTTGTGGAATTTGCAAGTGGAAAATTCTAGCAGTATGAGGCCAATGGTACAAAAGGAAATATCTTCGTATAAAAACTAGACAGTATCATTCTCAGAAACTGCTTTGTGATGTGCGTATTAAACTCACAGAGTTGAACATTTCTTTGCATAGAGCAGTTTGGAAAGACTTAGTTTGTGCAGCGTGCAAGTGGATATTTGGAACTCTTTGAGGCCTTCGTTGGAAACGGGATTTCTTCTTGTAATTCTTGACAAAAGAATTCTCAGTAGCTTCTTTGTGTGTGTGTATTCAACTCACAGAGTTGAACCTTCCTTTAGACAGAGCAGATTGGAAACACTCTTTTTGTGGAATTTGCAAGTGGAGAATTCTAGCGCTTTGACGCCAATGGTAGAAAGGAAATATCTTCGTATAAAAACTAGACAGTATCATTCTCAGAAGCTACTTTGTGATGTGTGCGTTCAACTGACAGAGTTTAACCTTTTTTTTCATAGAGAAGTTTGGAAACCCTCTGTTTGTGAAGTCTGCAAGTGGATATTTAAACGTCTTTGAGGCCTTCGTTGGAAACGGGATTTCTTCATATAAACCAGGACAGAAGAATTCTCAGATACTTCTTGATTGTTATGTGTGCATTCAACTCACCGAGTTGAACCTTACTTTGGAAAGAGCAGTTTTGTAACACTCTTTTTGTAAAAGTTCCAAGTGAATACTTTGAGTGCTTTGAAGCCTACGGTTGACAACGAAATATCTTCATGTAAAAACTACAAAGAATCATTCGCAGAAACCACGTTGTGATCTCTGCATTCAACTCACAGAGTTGAACCTTTCTTCCTATAGAGCAGTTATGAAACAGTCTCTTTGTAGAATTTGCAAGGGTGTATTTAGAGGGCATTGAAGCCTACGGTAGAAAAGGAAATATCTTACCATAAAATCTAGTCAGAAGCATTCTCAGCAACTGAGTTGTGATGTTTGCATTCAACTCACAGAGTTCAACATTCCTTTTAATGGAGCGGTTTTGAAACACTCTTTTTGCAGAATCTGCAAGTGGATATTTGGACCTCTTTGAGGCCTTCGTTGGAAACGGGATTTCTTCATGTAATGCCAGACAGAAGAATTCTCAGTGAATTCTTTCTGTGTGTGTGTATTCAACTCACAGAGTTGAACGTTCCTTTAGACAGAGTAGATTGGAAACACTCTTTTTGTGGAATTTTCAGGTGGAGGTATCAAGCGCTTTGAGGCCAATGATAGAAAAGGAAATACCTTCGTATAATAATTAGACGGAATCATTCTCAGAAACTGCTTTGCAATGTGTGCGTTCAACTCACAGTGTTTAACCTTTCTTTTCATACAGTTGTTTCGAAACACTCTTTTTGCAGAATCTGCAAGTGGATATTTGGACCTCTTTGAAGTCTTTGTTGGAAATGGGATTTCTTCATATAATGCTAGACAGAAGACTTCTCAGTAACTGCTTTTTCTGGTGTGTATTCAGCTCTCAGAGTTGAACTTTCCTTTAGAAACAGCAGATTTGAAACTCTCTTTTTGTGGAATTTGCAAGTGGAGATTTCAGAGCTTTGAGGCCAATGGTAGAAAAGGAAATATCTTCGTATGCAAACTAGACAGAATCATTCTCAGAAACTACTTTGGTACGTGTGTGTTCAACTCACAGTGTTTAACCTTTCTTTTCATAGAGCAGTTTGGAAACACTCAGTTTGTAAAGTCAGCAACTGGATATTTGGATGTATTTGAGGCCTTCGTTGGAAACGGGATTTCTTCATATAATGCTAGACAGAAGAATTCTCAGTAACTTCTTTGGGTTGTGGGTATTCAAGTCACAGAGTTGAAGCTTCCTTTAGGCGGAGCAGATTGGAAACACTTTTTGTGGAATTTTCAGGGGGAGACTTCAAGCGCTTTGAAGTGAATGGTAGGAAAGGAAATATCTTCGTATAAAAACTAGACGGAGTCATTCTCAGAAACTACTTTGTGATGTTTGCGTTCAACTCACAGAGTTTAACGTTTCTTTTCATAGAGCAGTTTGGAAACACTCTTTTTGCAGAATCTGCAAGTGGATATTTGGACCTCTTTGTGGCCTTCGTTGGAAACGGGATTTTTCATATAATGCTAGACAGAAGAATTCTCAGTAACTTCTTTTTGTGGTGTGTATTCAACTCACAGAGTTGAACCTTCCTTTAGACAGAGCAGATTTGAAACTCTCTTTTTGTGGAATTTGCAAGTGGAGATTTCAAGCGCTTTGAGGCCAACGGCAGAAAAGGAAATATCTTCGTAGAAAAAATAGACGGAATCATTCTCAGAAACTGCTTTGGGATGTGTGCATTGAACTCACAGTGTTTAACACTTCTTTTCATAGAGCACTTTGGAAACACTCAGTTTGTAATGTCTGCAGCTGGATATTTGGACCTCTTTGAGGCCTTCGTAGTAAACGGGATTTCTTCGTGTAATGATAGACAATAGAATTCTCAGTGAATTTTTTTCTGTGTGTGTGTATTCAACTCACAGGGTTGAACCTTCCTTTAGACAGTGCAGATTTGAAACACTTGTCTGTGGAATTTGCAAGGGGAGATTTCAAGCACTTTGAGGCCATTGGTGGAAAAGGAAATATCTTCGTATGAAAACTAGACAGAATCATTCTCAGGAACTACTTTGTGATATGTGCATTCAACTCCCAGAGTTTAACCTTTCTTTTCATAGATGAGTTTGGAAACAGTCAGTTTGTAAATTCTGCAACTGGATATTTGGACCTCTTTGAGGCTTTCGTTGGAAACGGGATTTCTTCACATAATGCTAGACAGAAGAATTCTCAGGAACTTCTTTTGGGATGTATGTATTCAAATCAGAGAGTTGAACCTTCCTTTAGACAGAGCGGATTGGAAACACTCTTTTTGTGGAATTTGCAAGTGGAAAATTCTAGCAGTATGAGGCCAATGGTACAAAAGGAAATATCTTCGTATAAAAACTAGACAGTATCATTCTCAGAAACTGCTTTGTGATGTGTGTATTAAACTCACAGAGTTGAACATTTCTTTGCATAGAGCAGTTTGGAAAGACTTAGTTTGTGCAGTGTGCAAGTGGATATTTGGAACTCTTTGAGGCCTTCGTTGGAAACGGGATTTCTTCTTATAATTCTTGACAAAAGAATTCTCAGTAGCTTCTTTGTGTGTGTGTATTCAACTCACAGAGTTGAACCTTCCTTTAGACAGAGCAGATTGGAAACACTCTTTTTGTGGAATTTGCAAGTGGAGAATTCTAGCGCTTTGACGCCAATGGTAGAAAGGAAATATCTTCGTATAAAAACTAGACAGTATCATTCTCAGAAACTACTTTGTGATGTGTGCGTTCAACTCACAGAGTTTAACCTTTCTTTTCATAGAGCAGTTTGGAAACACTCTGTTTGTGAAGTCTGCAAGTGGATATTTAAACGTCTTTGAGGCCTTCGTTGGAAACGGGATTTGTTCATATAAACCAGGACAGAAGAATTCTCAGAAACTTCTTGATTGTTATGTGTGCATTCAACTCACAGAGTTGAACCTTACTTTGGAAAGAGCAGTTTTCTAACACTCTTTTTGTAAAAGTTCCAAGTGAATACTTTGAGTGCTTTGAAGCCTACGGTTGACAACGAAATATCTTCATGTAAAAACTACAAAGAATCATTCGCAGAAACCACGTTGTGATCTCTGCATTCAACTCACAGAGTTGAACCTTTCTTCCTATAGAGCAGTTATGAAACAGTCTCTTTGTAGAATTTGCAAGGGTGTATTTAGAGGGCATTGAAGCCTACGGTAGAAAAGGAAATATCTTACCATAAAATCTAGTCAGAAGCATTCTCAGCAACTGAGTTGTGATGTTTGCATTCAACTCACAGAGTTCAACATTCCTTTTAATGGAGCGGTTTTGAAACACTCTTTTTGCAGAATCTGCAAGTGGATATTTGGACCTCTTTGAGGCCTTCGTTGGAAACGGGATTTCTTCATGTAATGCCAGACAGAAGAATTCTCAGTGAATTCTTTCTGTGTGTGTGTATTCAACTCACAGAGTTGAACGTTCCTTTAGACAGAGTAGATTGGAAACACTCTTTTTGTGGAATTTTCAGGTGGAGGTATCAAGCGCTTTGAGGCCAATGATAGAAAAGGAAATACCTTCGTATAATAATTAGACGGAATCATTCTCAGAAACTGCTTTGCAATGTGTGCGTTCAACTCACAGTGTTTAACCTTTCTTTTCATACAGTTGTTTCGAAACACTCTTTTTGCAGAATCTGCAAGTGGATATTTGGACCTCTTTGAAGTCTTCGTTGGAAATGGGATTTCTTCATATAATGCTAGACAGAAGACTTCTCAGTAACTGCTTTTTCTGGTGTGTATTCAACTCTCAGAGTTGAACTTTCCTTTAGAAACAGCAGAGTTGAAACTCTCTTTTTGTGGAATTTGCAAGTGGAGATTTCAAAGCTTTGAGGCCAATGGTAGAAAAGGAAATATCTTCGTATGCAAACTAGACAGAATCATTCTCAGCAAACTACTTTGGTACGTGTGTGTTCAACTCACAGTGTTTAACCTTTCTTTTCATAGAGCAGTTTGGAAACACTCAGTTTGTAAAGTCAGCAACTGGATATTTGGATGTATTTGAGGCCTTCGTTGGAAACGGGATTTCTTCATATAGTGCTAGACAGAAGAATTCTCAGTAACTTCTTTGGGTTGTGGGTATTCAACTCACAGCAGTTGAAGCTTCCTTTAGGCGGAGCAGATTGGAAACACTTTTTGTGGAATTTTCAGGGGGAGACTTCAAGCGCTTTGAAGTGAATGGTAGGAAAGGAAATATCTTCGTATAAAAACTAGACGGAGTCATTCTCAGAAACTACTTTGTGATGTTTGCGTTCAACTCACAGAGTTTAACGTTTCTTTTCATAGAGCAGTTTGGAAACACTCTTTTTGCAGAATCTGCAAGTGGATATTTGGACCTCTTTGTGGCCTTCGTTGGAAACGGGATTTTTCATATAATGCTAGACAGAAGAATTCTCAGTAACTTCTTTTTGTGGTGTGTATTCAACTCACAGAGTTGAACCTTCCTTTAGACAGAGCAGATTTGAAACTCTCTTTTTGTGGAATTTGCAAGTGGAGATTTCAAGCGCTTTGAGGCCAACGGCAGAAAAGGAAATATCTTCGTAGAAAAAATAGACGGAATCATTCTCAGAAACTGCTTTGGGATGTGTGCATTGAACTCACAGTGTTTAACACTTCTTTTCATAGAGCACTTTGGAAACACTCAGGTTGTAATGTCTGCAGCTGGATATTTGGACCTCTTTGAGGCCTTCGTAGTAAACGGGATTTCTTCGTGTAATGATAGACAATAGAATTCTCAGTGAATTTTTTTCTGTGTGTGTGTATTCAACTCACAGGGTTGAACCTTCCTTTAGACAGTGCAGATTTGAGACACTTGTCTGTGGAATTTGCAAGGGGAGATTTCAAGCACTTTGAGGCCATTGGTGGAAAAGGAAATATGCTTCGTATGAAAACTAGACAGATTCATTCTCAGGAACTACTTTGTGATATGTGCATTCAACTCACACAGTTTAACCTTTCTTTTCATAGAGGAGTTTGGAAACACTCAGTTTGTAATTCTACAACTGGATATTTGGACCTCTTTGAGGCTTTCGTTGGAAACGGGATTTCTTCACATAATTCTAGACAGAAGAATTCTCAGTAACTTCTTTTGGGATGTATGTATTCAAATCAGAGAGTTGAACCTTCCTTTAGACAGAGCAGATTGGAAACACTCTTTTTGTGGAATTTGCAAGTGGAAAATTCTAGCAGTATGAGGCCAATGGTACAAAAGGAAATATCTTCGTATAAAAACTAGACAGTATCATTCTCAGAAACTGCTTTGTGATGTGTGTATTAAACTCACAGAGTTGAACATTTCTTTGCATAGAGCAGTTTGGAAAGACTTAGTTTGTGCAGTGTGCAAGTGGATATTTGGAACTCTTTGAGGCCTTCGTTGGAAACGGGATTTCTTCTTATAATTCTTGACAAAAGAATTCTCAGTAGCTTCTTTGTGTGTGTGTATTCAACTCACAGAGTTGAACCTTCCTTTAGACAGAGCAGATTGAAAACACTCTTTTTGTGGAATTTGCAAGTGGAGAATTCTAGCGCTTTGACGCCAATGGTAGAAAGGAAATATCTTCGTATAAAAACTAGACAGTATCATTCTCAGAAACTACTTTGTGATGTGTGCGTTCAACTCACAGAGTTTAACCTTTCTTTTCATAGAGCAGTTTGGAAACACTCTGTTTGTGAAGTCTGCAAGTGGATATTTAAACGTCTTTGAGGCCTTCGTTGGAAACGGGATTTTTTCCTATAAACCAGGACAGAAGAATTCTCAGAAACTTCTTGTTTGTTATGTGTGCATTCAACTCACAGAGTTGAACCTTACTTTGGAAAGAGCAGTTTTCTAACACTCTTTTTGTAAAAGTTCCAAGTGAATACTTTGAGTGCTTTGAAGCCTACGGTAGACAACGAAATATCTTCATGTAAAAACTACAAAGAATCATTCGCAGAAACCACGTTGTGATCTCTGCATTCAACTCACAGAGTTCAACCTTTCTTCCTATAGAGCAGTTATTAAACAGTCTCTTTGTAGAATTTGCAAGGGTGTATTTAGAGGGCATTGAAGCCTACGGTAGAAAAGGAAATATCTGACCATAAAATCTAGTCAGAAGCATTCTCAGAAACTGAGTTGTGATGTTTGCATTCAACTCACAGAGTTCAACATTCCTTTTCATGGAGCGGTTTTGAAACACTCTTTTTGCAGAATCTGTAAGTGGATATTTGGACCTCTTTGAGGCCTTCGTTGGAAACGGGATTTCTTCATGTAATGCCAGACAGAAGAACTCTCAGTGAATTCTTTCTGTGTGTGTGTATTCAACTCACAGATTTGAACGTTCCTTTAGACAGAGTAGATTGGAAACACTCTTTTTGTGGAATTTTCAGGTGGAGGTATCAAGCGCTTTGAGGCCCATGATAGAAAAGGAAATACCTTCGTATAATAATTAGACGGAATCATTCTCAGAAACTGCTTTGCAATGTGTGCCTTCAACTCACAGCGTTTAACCTTTCTTTTCATACAGTTGTTTCGAAACACTCTTTTTGCAGAACCTGCAAGTGGATATTTGGACCTCTTTGAAGTCTTCGTTGGAAATGGGATTTCTTCATATAATGCTAGACAGAGGAATTCTTCGTAACTTCTTTGTATTGTGTGTATTCAACTCTCAGAGTTGAACTTTCCTTTAGAAACAGCAGATTTGAAACTCTCTTTTTGTGGAATTTGCAAGTGGAGATTTCAAAGCTTTGAGGCCAATGGTAGAAAAGGAAATATCTTCGTATGCAAACGAGACAGAATCATTCTCAGAAACTACTTTGGTACGTGTGTGTTCAACTCACAGTGTTTAACCTTTCTTTTCATAGAGCAGTTTGGAAACACTCAGTTTGTAAAGTCAGCAACTGGATATTTGGATGTATTTGAGGCCTTCGTTGGAAACGGGATTTCTTCATATAATGCTAGACAGAAGAATTCTCAGTAACTTCTTTGGGTTGTGGGTATTCAACTCACAGAGTTGAAGCTTCCTTTAGGTGGAGCAGATTGGAAACACTTTTTGTGGAATTTTCAGGGGGAGACTTCAAGCGCTTTGAAGTGAATGGTAGGAAAGGAAATATCTTCGTATAAAAACTAGACGGAGTCATTCTCAGAAACTACTTTGTGATGTTTGCGTTCAACTCACAGAGTTTAACGTTTCTTTTCATAGAGCAGTTTGGAAACACTCTTTTTGCAGAATCTGCAAGTGGATATTTGGACCTCTTTGTGGCCTTCGTTGGAAACGGGATTTTTCATATAATGCTAGACAGAAGCAATTCTCAGTAACTTCTTTTTGTGGTGTGTATTCAACTCACAGAGTTGAACCTTCCTTTAGACAGAGCAGATTTGAAACTCTCTTTTTGTGGAATTTGCAAGTGGAGATTTCAAGCGCTTTGAGGCCAACGGCAGAAAAGGAAATATCTTCGTAGAAAAAATAGACGGCATCATTCTCAGAAACTGCTTTGGGATGTGTGCATTGAACTCACAGTGTTTAACACTTCTTTTCATAGAGCACTTTGGAAACACTCAGGTTGTAATGTCTGCAGCTGGATATTTGGACCTCTTTGAGGCCTTCGTAGTAAACGGGATTTCTTCGTGTAATGATAGACAATAGAATTCTCAGTGAATTTTTTTCTGTGTGTGTGTATTCAACTCACAGGGTTGAACCTTCCTTTAGACAGTGCAGATTTGAGACACTTGTCTGTGGAATTTGCAAGGGGAGATTTCAAGCACTTTGAGGCCATTGGTGGAAAAGGAAATATCTTCGTATGAAAACTAGACAGAATCATTCTCAGGAACTACTTTGTGATATGTGCATTCAACTCACAGAGTTTAACCTTTCTTTTCATAGATGAGTTTGGAAACAGTCAGTTTGTAAATTCTGCAACTGGATATTTGGACCTCTTTGAGGCTTTCGTTGGAAACGGGATTTCTTCACATAATGCTAGACAGAAGAATTCTCAGGAACTTCTTTTGGGATGTATGTATTCAAATCAGAGAGTTGAACCTTCCTTTAGACAGAGCGGATTGGAAACACTCTTTTTGTGGAATTTGCAAGTGGAAAATTCTAGCAGTATGAGGCCAATGGTACAAAAGGAAATATCTTCGTATAAAAACTAGACAGTATCATTCTCAGAAACTGCTTTGTGATGTGTGTATTAAACTCACAGAGTTGAACATTTCTTTGCATAGAGCAGTTTGGAAAGACTTAGTTTGTGCAGTGTGCAAGTGGATATTTGGAACTCTTTGAGGCCTTCGTTGGAAACGGGATTTCTTCTTATAATTCTTGACAAAAGAATTCTCAGTAGCTTCTTTGTGTGTGTGTATTCAACTCACAGAGTTGAACCTTCCTTTAGACAGAGCAGATTGGAAACACTCTTTTTGTGGAATTTGCAAGTGGAGAATTCTAGCGCTTTGACGCCAATGGTAGAAAGGAAATATCTTCGTATAAAAACTAGACAGTATCATTCTCAGAAGCTACTTTGTGATGTGTGCGTTCAACTCACAGAGTTTAACCTTTCTTTTCATAGAGCAGTTTGGAAACCCTCTGTTTGTGAAGTCTGCAAGTGGATATTTAAACGTCTTTGAGGCCTTCGTTGGAAACGGGATTTTTTCATATAAACCAGGACAGAAGAATTCTCAGAAACTTCTTGATTGTTATGTGTGCATTCAACTCACAGAGTTGAACCTTACTTTGGAAAGAGCAGTTTTCTAACACTCTTTTTGTAAAAGTTCCAAGTGAATACTTTGAGTGCTTTGAAGCCTACGGTTGACAACGAAATATCTTCATGTAAAAACTACAAAGAATCATTCGCAGAAACCACGTTGTGATCTCTGCAGTCAACTCACAGAGTTCAACCTTTCTTCCTATAGAGCAGTTATGAAACAGTCTCTTTGTAGAATTTGCAAGGGTGTATTTAGAGGGCATTGAAGCCTACGGTAGAAAAGGAAATATCTTACCATAAAATCTAGTCAGAAGCATTCTCAGAAACTGAGTTGTGATGTTTGCATTCAACTCACAGAGTTCAACATTCCTTTTAATGGAGCGGTTTTGAAACACTCTTTTTGCAGAATCTGCAAGTGGATATTTGGACCTCTTTGAGGTCTTCGTTGGAAACGGGATTTCTTCATGTAATGCCAGACAGAAGAATTCTCAGTGAATTCTTTCTGTGTGTGTGTATTCAACTCACAGAGTTGAACGTTCCTTTAGACAGAGTAGATTGGAAACACTCTTTTTGTGGAATTTTCAGGTGGAGGTATCAAGCGCTTTGAGGCCAATGATAGAAAAGGAAATACCTTCGTATAATAATTAGACGGAATCATTCTCAGAAACTGCTTTGCAATGTGTGCGTTCAACTCACAGTGTTTAACCTTTCTTTTCATACAGTTGTTTCGAAACACTCTTTTTGCAGAATCTGCAAGTGGATATTTGGACCTCTTTGAAGTCTTCGTTGGAAATGAGATTTCTTCATATAATGCTAGACAGAAGACTTCTCAGTAACTGCTTTTTCTGGTGTGTATTCAACTCTCAGAGTTGAACTTTCCTTTAGAAACAGCAGAGTTGAAACTCTCTTTTTGTGGAATTTGCAAGTGGAGATTTCAAAGCTTTGAGGCCAATGGTAGAAAAGGAAATATCTTCGTATGCAAACTAGACAGAATCATTCTCAGAAACTACTTTGGTACGTGTGTGTTCAACTCACAGTGTTTAACCTTTCTTTTCATAGAGCAGTTTGGAAACACCCAGTTTGTAAAGTCAGCAACTGGATATTTGGATGTATTTGAGGCCTTCGTTGGAAACGGGATTTCTTCATATAGTGTTAGACAGAAGAATTCTCAGTAACTTCTTTGGGTTGTGGGTATTCAACTCACAGAGTTGAAGCTTCCTTTAGGCGGAGCAGATTGGAAACACTTTTTGTGGAATTTTCAGGGGGAGACTTCAAGCGCTTTGAAGTGAATGGTAGAAAAGGAAATATCTTCGTATAAAAACTAGACGGAGTCATTCTCAGAAACTACTTTGTGATGTTTGCGTTCAACTCACAGAGTTTAACGTTTCTTTTCATAGAGCAGTTTGGAAACACTCTTTTTGCAGAATCTGCAAGTGGATATTTGGACCTGTTTGTGGCCTTCGTTGGAAACGGGATTTTTCATATAATGCTAGACAGAAGAATTCTCAGTAACTTCTTTTTGTGGTGTGTATTCAACTCACAGAGTTGAACCTTCCTTTAGACAGAGCAGATTTCAAACTCTCTTTTTGTGGAATTTGCAAGTGGAGATTTAAAGCGCTTTGAGGCCAACGGTAGAAAAGGAAATATCTTCGTAGAAAAAATAGACGGAATCATTCTCAGAAACTGCTTTGGGATGTGTGCATTGAACTCACAGTGTTTAACACTTCTTTTCATAGAGCACTTTGGAAACACTCAGTTTGTAATGTCTGCAGCTGGATATTTGGGCCTCTTTGAGGCCTTCGTAGTAAACGGGATTTCTTCGTGTAATGATAGACAATAGAATTCTCAGTGAAGTTTTTTCTGTGTGTGTGTATTCAACTCACAGGGTTGAACCTTCCTTTAGACAGTGCAGATTTGAAACACTTGTCTGTGGAATTTGCAAGGGGAGATTTCAAGCACTTTGAAGCCATTGGTGGAAAAGGAAATATCTTCGTATAAAAACTAGACAGAATCATTCTCAGGAACTACTTTGTGATATGGGCATTCAACTCACAGAGTTTAACCTTTCTTTTCATAGATGAGTTTGGAAACAGTCAGTTTGTAAATTCTGCAACTGGATATTTGGACCTCTTTGAGGCTTTCGTTGGAAACGGGATTTCTTCACATAATGCTAGACAGAAGAATTCTCAGTAACTTCTTTTGGGATGTATGTATTCAAATCAGAGAGTTGAACCTTCCTTTAGACAGAGCGGATTGGAAACACTCTTTTTGTGGAATTTGCAAGTGGAAAATTCTAGCAGTATGAGGCCAATGGTACAAAAGGAAATATCTTCGTATAAAAACTAGACAGTATCGTTCTCAGAAACTGCTTTGTGATGTGTGAATTAAACTCACAGAGTTGAACATTTCTTTGCATAGAGCAGTTTGGAAAGACTTAGTTTGTGCAGTGTGCAAGTGGATATTTGGAACTCTTTGAGGCCTTCGTTGGAAACGGGATTTCTTCTTATAATTCTTGACAAAAGAATTCTCAGTAGCTTCTTTGTTTGTGTGTATTCAACTCACAGAGTTGAACCTTCCTTTAGGCAGAGCAGATTGGAAACACTCTTTTTGTGGAATTTGCAAGTGGAGAATTCTAGCGCTTTGACGCCAATGGTAGGAAAGGAAATATCTTCGTATAAAAACTGGACAGTATCATTCTCAGAAACTACTTTGTGATGTGTGCGTTCAACTCACAGAGTTTAACCTTTCTTTTCATAGAGCAGTTTGGAAACACTCTGTTTGTGAAGTCTGCAAGTGGATATTTAAACGTCTTTGAGGCCTTCGTTGGAAACGGGATTTTTTCATATAAACCAGGACAGAAGAATTCTCAGAAACTTCTTGATTGTTATGTGTGCATTCAACTCACAGAGTTGAACCTTACTTTGGAAAGAGCAGTTTTCTAACACTCTTTTTGTAAAAGTTCCAAGTGAATACTTTGAGTGCTTTGAAGCCTACGGTTGACAACGAAATATCTTCCTGTAAAAACTACAAAGAATCATTCGCAGAAACCACGTTGTGATCTCTGCATTCAACTCACAGAGTTGAACCTTTCTTCCTATAGAGCAGTTATGAAACAGTCTCTTTGTAGAATTTGCAAGGGTGTATTTAGAGGGCATTGAAGCCTACGGTAGAAAAGGAAATATCTTACCATAAAATCTAGTCAGAAGCATTCTCAGCAACTGAGTTGTGATGTTTCCATTCAACTCACAGAGTTCAACATTCCTTTTAATGGAGCGGTTTTGAAACACTCTTTTTGCCGAATCTGCAAGTGGATATTTGGACCTCTTTGAGGCCTTCGTTGGAAACGGGATTTCTTCATGTAATGCCAGACAGAAGAATTCTCAGTGAATTCTTTCTGTGTGTGTGTATTCAACTCACAGAGTTGAACGTTCCTTTAGACAGAGTAGATTGGAAACACTCTTTTTGTGGAATTTTCAGGTGGAGGTATCAAGCGCTTTGAGGCCCATGATAGAAAAGGAAATACCTTCGTATAATAATTAGACGGAATCATTCTCAGAAAATGCTTTGCAATGGGTGCGTTCAACTCACAGTGTTTAACCTTTCTTTTCATACAGTTGTTTCGAAACACTCTTTTTGCGGAATCTGCAAGTGGATATTTGGACCTGTTTGAAGTCTTCTTTGGAAATGGGATTTCTTCATATAATGCTAGACAGAAGACTTCTCAGTAACTGCTTTTTCTGGTGTGTATTCAACTCTCAGAGTTGAACTTTCCTTTAGAAACAGCAGATTTGAAACTCTCTTTTTGTGGAATTTGCAAGTGGAGATTTCAAAGCTTTGAGGCCAGTGGTAGAAAAGGAAATATCTTTGTATGCAAACTAGACAGAATCATTCTCAGAAACTACTTTGGTACGTGTGTGTTCAACTCACAGTGTTTAACCTTTCTTTTCATAGAGCAGTTTGGAAACACTCAGTTTGTAAAGTCAGCAACTGGATATGTGGATGTATTTGAGGCCTTCGTTGGAAACGGGATTTCTTCATATAATGCGAGACAGAAGAATTCTCAGTAACTTCTTTGTGTTGTGGGTATTCAACTCACAGAGTTGAAGCTTCCTTTAGGCGGAGCAGATTGGAAACACTTTTTGTGGAATTTTCAGGGGGAGACTTCAAGCGCTTTGAGGCCAACGGTAGAAAAGGAAATATCTTCGTATAAAAACTAGACGGAGTCATTCTCAGAAACTTCTTTGTGATGTTTGCGTTCAACTCACAGAGTTTAACGTTTCTTTTCATAGAGCAGTTTGGAAACACTCTTTTTGCAGAATCTGCAAGTGGATATTTGGACCTCTTTGTGGCCTTCGTTGGGAACGGGATTTTTCATATAATGCTAGACAGAAGAATTCTCAGTAACTTCTTTTTGTGGTGTGTATTCAACTCACAGAGTGGAACCTTCCTTTAGACAGAGCAGATTTGAAACTCTCTTTTCGTGGAATTTGCAAGTGGAGATTTCAGGCGCTTTGAGGCCAACGGTAGAAAAGGAAATATCTTCGTAGAAAAAATAGACGGAATCATTCTCAGAAACTGCTTTGGGATGTGTGCATTGAACTCACAGTGTTTAACACTTCTTTTCATAGAGCACTTTGGAAACACTCAGTTTGTAATGTCTGCAGCTGGATATTTGGACCTCTTTGAGGCCTTCGTAGTAAACGGGATTTCTTCGTGTACTGATAGACAATGTAATTCTCAGTGAATTTCTTTCTGTGTGTGTGTATTCAACTCACAGGGTTGAACCTTCCTTCAGACAGTGCAGATTTGAAACACTTTTCTGTGGAATTTGCAAGGGGAGATTTCAAGCACTTTGAGGCCATTGGTGGAAAAGGAAATATCTTCGTATAAAAACTAGACAGAATCATTCTCAGGAACTACTTTGTGATATGTGCATTCAACTCACAGAGTTTAACCTTTCTTTTCATAGATGAGTTTGGAAACAGTCAGTTTGTAAATGCTGCAACTGGATATTTGGGCCTCTTTGAGGCTTTCGTTGGAAACGGGATTTCTTCACATAATGCTAGACAGAAGAATTCTCAGTAACTTCTTTTGGGATGTATGTATTCAAATCAGAGAGTTGAACCTTCCTTTAGACAGAGCGGATTGGAAACACTCTTTTTGTGGAATTTGCAAGTGGAAAATTCTAGCAGTATGAGGCCAATGGTACAAAAGGAAATATCTTCGTATAAAAACTAGACAGTATCATTCTCAGAAACTGCTTTGTGATGTGTGTATTAAACTCACAGAGTTGAACATTTCTTTGCATAGAGCAGTGTGGAAAGAGTTTGTGCAGTGTGCAAGTGGATATTTGGAACTCTTTGAGGCCTTCGTTGGAAACGGGATTTCTTCTTATAATTCTTGACAAAAGAATTCTCAGTAGCTTCTTTGTGTGTGTGTATTCAACTCACAGAGTTGAACCTTCCTTTAGACAGAGCAGATTGGAAACACTCTTTTTGTGGAATTTGCAAGTGGAGAATTCTAGCGCTTTGACGCCAATGGTAGAAAGGAAATATCTTCGTATAAAAACTAGACAGTATCATTCTCAGAAACTACTTTGTGATGTGTGCGTTCAACTCACAGAGTTTAACCTTTCTTTTCATAGAGCAGTTTGGAAACACTCTGTTTGTGAAGTCTGCAAGTGGATATTTAAACGTCTTTGAGGCCTTCGTTGGAAACGGGATTTTTTCCTATAAACCAGGACAGAAGAATTCTCAGAAACTTCTTGATTGTTATGTGTGCATTCAACTCACAGAGTTGAACCTTACTTTGGAAAGAGCAGTTTTCTAACACTCTTTTTGTAAAAGTTCCAAGTGAATACTTTGAGTGCTTTGAAGCCTACGGTTGACAACGAAATATCTTCATGTAAAAACTACAAAGAATCATTCGCAGAAACCACGTTGTGATCTCTGCATTCAACTCACAGAGTTGAACCTTTCTTCCTATAGAGCAGTTATGAAACAGTCTCTTTGTAGAATTTGCAAGGGTGTATTTAGAGGGCATTGAAGCCTACGGTAGAAAAGGAAATATCTTACCATAAAATCTAGTCAGAAGCATTCTCAGCAACTGAGTTGTGATGTTTGCATTCAACTCACAGAGTTCAACATTCCTTTTAATGGGAGCGGTTTTGAAACACTCTTTTTGCAGAATCTGCAAGTGGATATTTGGACCTCTTTGAGGCCTTCGTTGGAAACGGGATTTCTTCATGTAATGCCAGACAGAAGAATTCTCAGTGAATTCTTTCTGTGTGTGTGTATTCAACTCACAGAGTTGAACGTTCCTTTAGACAGAGTAGATTGGAAACACTCTTTTTGTGGAATTTTCAGGTGGAGGTATCAAGCGCTTTGAGGCCAATGATAGAAAAGGAAATACCTTCGTATAATAATTAGACGGAATCATTCTCAGAAACTGCTCTGCAATGTGTGCGTTCAACTCACAGTGTTTAACCTTTCTTTTCATACAGTTGTTTCGAAACACTCTTTTTGCAGAATCTGCAAGTGGATATTTGGACCTCTTTGAAGTCTTCGTTGGAAATGGGATTTCTTCATATAATGCTAGACAGAAGACTTCTCAGTAACTGCTTTTTCTGGTGTGTATTCAACTCTCAGAGTTGAACTTTCCTTTAGAAACAGCAGAGTTGAAACTCTCTTTTTGTGGAATTTGCAAGTGGAGATTTCAAAGCTTTGAGGCCAATGGTAGAAAAGGAAATATCTTCGTATGCAAACTAGACAGAATCATTCTCAGAAACTACTTTGGTACGTGTGTGTTCAACTCACAGTGTTTAACCTTTCTTTTCATAGAGCAGTTTGGAAACACTCAGTTTGTAAAGTCAGCAACTGGATATTTGGATGTATTTGAGGCCTTCGTTGGAAACGGGATTTCTTCATATAGTGCTAGACAGAAGAATTCTCAGTAACTTCTTTGGGTTGTGGGTATTCAACTCACAGAGTTGAAGCTTCCTTTAGGCGGAGCAGATTGGAAACACTTTTTGTGGAATTTTCAGGGGGAGACTTCAAGCGCTTTGAAGTGAATGGTAGGAAAGGAAATATCTTCGTATAAAAA
The DNA here is from genome assembly GCF_000001405.40 of Homo sapiens. NCBI lineage: Eukaryota > Metazoa > Chordata > Mammalia > Primates > Hominidae > Homo > Homo sapiens. The sequence goes on from NC_000003.12 coordinate 91,681,844, forward strand.
CTAGACGGAGTCATTCTCAGAAACTACTTTGTGATGTTTGCGTTCAACTCACAGAGTTTAACGTTTCTTTTCATAGAGCAGTTTGGAAACACTCTTTTTGCAGAATCTGCAAGTGGATATTTGGACCTCTTTGTGGCCTTCGTTAGAAACGGGATTTTTCATATAATGCTAGACAGAAGAATTCTCAGTAACTTCTTTTTGTGGTGTGTATTCAACTCACAGAGTTGAACCTTCCTTTAGACAGAGCAGATTTGAAACTCTCTTTTTGTGGAATTTGCAAGTGGAGATTTCAAGCGCTTTGAGGCCAACGGCAGAAAAGGAAATATCTTCGTAGAAAAAATAGACGGAATCATTCTCAGAAACTGCTTTGGGATGTGTGCATTGAACTCACAGTGTTTAACACTTCTTTTCATAGAGCACTTTGGAAACACTCAGTTTGTAATGTCTGCAGCTGGATATTTGGACCTCTTTGAGGCCTTCGTGGTAAACGGGATTTCTTCGTGTAATGATAGACAATAGAATTCTCAGTGAATTTTTTTCTGTGTGTGTGTATTCAACTCACAGGGTTGAACCTTCCTTTAGACAGTGCAGATTTGAAACACTTGTCTGTGGAATTTGCAAGGGGAGATTTCAAGCACTTTGAGGCCATTGGTGGAAAAGGAAATATCTTCGTATGAAAACTAGACAGAATCATTCTCAGGAACTACTTTGTGATATGTGCATTCAACTCCCAGAGTTTAACCTTTCTTTTCATAGATGAGTTTGGAAACAGTCAGTTTGTAAATTCTGCAACTGGATATTTGGACCTCTTTGAGGCTTTCTTTGGAAACGGGATTTCTTCACATAATGCTAGACAGAAGAATTCTCAGGAACTTCTTTTGGGATGTATGTATTCAAATCAGAGAGTTGAACCTTCCTTTAGACAGAGCGGATTGGAAACACTCTTTTTGTGGAATTTGCAAGTGGAAAATTCTAGCAGTATGAGGCCAATGGTACAAAAGGAAATATCTTCGTATAAAAACTAGACAGTATCATTCTCAGAAACTGCTTTGTGATGTGCGTATTAAACTCACAGAGTTGAACATTTCTTTGCATAGAGCAGTTTGGAAAGACTTAGTTTGTGCAGTGTGCAAGTGGATATTTGGAACTCTTTGAGGCCTTCGTTGGAAACGGGATTTCTTCTTGTAATTCTTGACAAAAGAATTCTCAGTAGCTTCTTTGTGTGTGTGTATTCAACTCACAGAGTTGAACCTTCCTTTAGACAGAGCAGATTGGAAACACTCTTTTTGTGGAATTTGCAAGTGGAGAATTCTAGCGCTTTGACGCCAATGGTAGAAAGGAAATATCTTCGTATAAAAACTAGACAGTATCATTCTCAGAAGCTACTTTGTGATGTGTGCGTTCAACTCACAGAGTTTAACCTTTCTTTTCATAGAGCAGTTTGGAAACCCTCTGTTTGTGAAGTCTGCAAGTGGATATTTAAACGTCTTTGAGGCCTTCGTTGGAAACGGGATTTCTTCATATAAACCAGGACAGAAGAATTCTCAGAAACTTCTTGATTGTTATGTGTGCATTCAACTCACAGAGTTGAACCTTACTTTGGAAAGAGCAGTTTTCTAACACTCTTTTTGTAAAAGTTCCAAGTGAATACTTTGAGTGCTTTGAAGCCTACGGTTGACAACGAAATATCCTTCATGTAAAAACTACAAAGAATCATTCGCAGAACCACGTTGTGATCTCTGCATTCAACTCACAGAGTTGAACCTTTCTTCCTATAGAGCAGTTATGAAACAGTCTCTTTGTAGAATTTGCAAGGGTGTATTTAGAGGGCATTGAAGCCTACGGTAGAAAAGGAAATATCTTACCATAAAATCTAGTCAGAAGCATTCTCAGAAACTGAGTTGTGATGTTTGCATTCAACTCACAGAGTTCAACATTCCTTTTAATGGAGCGGTTTTGAAACACTCTTTTTGCAGAATCTGCAAGTGGATATTTGGACCTCTTTGAGGCCTTCGTTGGAAACGGGATTTCTTCATGTAATGCCAGACAGAAGAATTCTCAGTGAATTCTTTCTGTGTGTGTGTATTCAACTCACAGAGTTGAACGTTCCTTTAGACAGAGTAGATTGGAAACACTCTTTTTGTGGAATTTTCAGGTGGAGGTATCAAGCGCTTTGAGGCCAATGATAGAAAAGGAAATACCTTCGTATAATAATTAGACGGAATCATTCTCAGAAACTGCTTTGCAATGTGTGCGTTCAACTCACAGTGTTTAACCTTTCTTTTCATACAGTTGTTTCGAAACACTCTTTTTGCAGAATCTGCAAGTGGATATTTGGACCTCTTTGAAGTCTTCGTTGGAAATGGGATTTCTTCATATAATGCTAGACAGAAGACTTCTCAGTAACTGCTTTTTCTGGTGTGTATTCAACTCTCAGAGTTGAACTTTCCTTTAGAAACAGCAGAGTTGAAACTCTCTTTTTGTGGAATTTGCAAGTGGAGATTTCAGAGCTTTGAGGCCAATGGTAGAAAAGGAAATATCTTCGTATGCAAACTAGACAGAATCATTCTCAGAAACTACTTTGGTACGTGTGTGTTCAACTCACAGTGTTTAACCTTTCTTTTCATAGAGCAGTTTGGAAACACTCAGTTTGTAAAGTCAGCAACTGGATACTTGGATGTATTTGAGGCCTTCGTTGGAAACGGGATTTCTTCATATAATGCTAGACAGAAGAATTCTCAGTAACTTCTTTGGGTTGTGGGTATTCAAGTCACAGAGTTGAAGCTTCCTTTAGGCGGAGCAGATTGGAAACACTTTTTGTGGAATTTTCAGGGGGAGACTTCAAGCGCTTTGAAGTGAATGGTAGGAAAGGAAATATCTTCGTATAAAAACTAGACGGAGTCATTCTCAGAAACTACTTTGTGATGTTTGCGTTCAACTCACAGAGTTTAACGTTTCTTTTCATAGAGCAGTTTGGAAACACTCTTTTTGCAGAATCTGCAAGTGGATATTTGGACCTCTTTGTGGCCTTCGTTGGAAACGGGATTTTTCATATAATGCTAGACAGAAGAATTCTCAGTAACTTCTTTTTGTGGTGTGTATTCAACTCACAGAGTTGAACCTTCCTTTAGACAGAGCAGATTTGAAACTCTCTTTTTGTGGAATTTGCAAGTGGAGATTTCAAGCGCTTTGAGGCCAACGGCAGAAAAGGAAATATCTTCGTAGAAAAAATAGACGGAATCATTCTCAGAAACTGCTTTGGGATGTGTGCATTGAACTCACAGTGTTTAACACTTCTTTTCATAGAGCACTTTGGAAACACTCAGTTTGTAATGTCTGCAGCTGGATATTTGGACCTCTTTGAGGCCTTCGTAGTAAACGGGATTTCTTCGTGTAATGATAGACAATAGAATTCTCAGTGAATTTTTTTCTGTGTGTGTGTATTCAACTCACAGGGTTGAACCTTCCTTTAGACAGTGCAGATTTGAAACACTTGTCTGTGGAATTTGCAAGGGGAGATTTCAAGCACTTTGAGGCCATTGGTGGAAAAGGAAATATCTTCGTATGAAAACTAGACAGAATCATTCTCAGGAACTACTTTGTGATATGTGCATTCAACTCACAGAGTTTAACCTTTCTTTTCATAGATGAGTTTGGAAACAGTCAGTTTGTAAATTCTGCAACTGGATATTTGGACCTCTTTGAGGCTTTCGTTGGAAACGGGATTTCTTCACATAATGCTAGACAGAAGAATTCTCAGTAACTTCTTTTGGGATGTATGTATTCAAATCAGAGAGTTGAACCTTCCTTTAGACAGAGCGGATTGGAAACACTCTTTTTGTGGAATTTGCAAGTGGAAAATTCTAGCAGTATGAGGCCAATGGTACAAAAGGAAATATCTTCGTATAAAAACTAGACAGTATCATTCTCAGAAACTGCTTTGTGATGTGTGTATTAAACTCACAGAGTTGAACATTTCTTTGCATAGAGCAGTTTGGAAAGACTTAGTTTGTGCAGTGTGCAAGTGGATATTTGGAACTCTTTGAGGCCTTCGTTGGAAACGGGATTTCTTCTTATAAATCTTGACAAAAGAATTCTCAGTAGCTTCTTTGTGTGTGTGTATTCAACTCACAGAGTTGAACCTTCCTTTAGACAGAGCAGATTGGATACACTCTTTTTGTGGAATTTGCAAGTGGAGAATTCTAGCACTTTGACGCCAATGGTAGAAAGGAAATATCTTCGTATAAAAACTAGACAGTATCATTCTCAGAAGCTACTTTGTGATGTGTGCGTTCAACTCACAGAGTTTAACCTTTCTTTTCATAGAGCAGTTTGGAAACCCTCTGTTTGTGAAGTCTGCAAGTGGATATTTAAACGTCTTTGAGGCCTTCGTTGGAAACGGGATTTTTTCATATAAACCAGGACAGAAGAATTCTCAGAAACTTCTTGATTGTTATGTGTGCATTCAACTCACAGAGTTGAACCTTACTTTGGAAAGAGCAGTTTTCTAACACTCTTTTTGTAAAAGTTCCAAGTGAATACTTTGAGTGCTTTGAAGCCTACGGTTGACAACGAAATATCTTCATGTAAAAACTACAAAGAATCATTCACAGAAACCACGTTGTGATCTCTGCATTCAACTCACAGAGTTGAACCTTTCTTCCTATAGAGCAGTTATGAAACAGTCTCTTTGTAGAATTTGCAAGGGTGTATTTAGAGGGCATTGAAGCCTACGGTAGAAAAGGAAATATCTTACCATAAAATCTAGTCAGAAGCATTCTCAGAAACTGAGTTGTGATGTTTGCATTCAACTCACAGAGTTCAACATTCCTTTTAATGGAGCGGTTTTGAAACACTCTTTTTGCAGAATCTGCAAGTGGATATTTGGACCTCTTTGAGGCCTTCGTTGGAAACGGGATTTCTTCATGTAATGCCAGACAGAAGAATTCTCAGTGAATTCTTTCTGTGTGTGTGTATTCAACTCACAGAGTTGAACGTTCCTTTAGACAGAGTAGATTGGAAACACTCTTTTTGTGGAATTTTCAGGTGGAGGTATCAAGCGCTTTGAGGCCAATGATAGAAAAGGAAATACCTTCGTATAATAATTAGACGGAATCGTTCTCAGAAACTGCTTTGCAATGTGTGCGTTCAACTCACAGTGTTTAACCTTTCTTTTCATACAGTTGTTTCGAAACACTCTTTTTGCAGAATCTGCAAGTGGATATTTGGACCTCTTTGAAGTCTTCGTTGGAAATGGGATTTCTTCATATAATGCTAGACAGAAGACTTCTCAGTAACTGCTTTTTCTGGTGTGTATTCAACTCTCAGAGTTGAACTTTCCTTTAGAAACAGCAGATTTGAAACTCTCTTTTTGTGGAATTTGCAAGTGGAGATTTCAGAGCTTTGAGGCCAATGGTAGAAAAGGAAATATCTTCGTATGCAAACTAGACAGAATCATTCTCAGAAACTACTTTGGTACGTGTGTGTTCAACTCACAGTGTTTAACCTTTCTTTTCATAGAGCAGTTTGGAAACACTCAGTTTGTAAAGTCAGCAACTGGATATTTGGATGTATTTGAGGCCTTCGTTGGAAACGGGATTTCTTCATATAATGCTAGACAGAAGAATTCTCAGTAACTTCTTTGGGTTGTGGGTATTCAAGTCACAGAGTTGAAGCTTCCTTTAGGCGGAGCAGATTGGAAACACTTTTTGTGGAATTTTCAGGGGGAGACTTCAAGCGCTTTGAAGTGAATGGTAGGAAAGGAAATATCTTCGTATAAAAACTAGACGGAGTCATTCTCAGAAACTACTTTGTGATGTTTGCGTTCAACTCACAGAGTTTAACGTTTCTTTTCATAGAGCAGTTTGGAAACACTCTTTTTGCAGAATCTGCAAGTGGATATTTGGACCTCTTTGTGGCCTTCGTTGGAAACGGGATTTTTCATATAATGCTAGACAGAAGAATTCTCAGTAACTTCTTTTTGTGGTGTGTATTCAACTCACAGAGTTGAACCTTCCTTTAGACAGAGCAGATTTGAAACTCTCTTTTTGTGGAATTTGCAAGTGGAGATTTCAAGCGCTTTGAGGCCAACGGCAGAAAAGGAAATATCTTCGTAGAGAAAATAGACGGAATCATTCTCAGAAACTGCTTTGGGATGTGTGCATTGAACTCACAGTGTTTAACACTTCTTTTCATAGAGCACTTTGGAAACACTCAGGTTGTAATGTCTGCAGCTGGATATTTGGACCTCTTTGAGGCCTTCGTGGTAAACGGGATTTCTTCGTGTAATGATAGACAATAGAATTCTCAGTGAATTTTTTTCTGTGTGTGTGTATTCAACTCACAGGGTTGAACCTTCCTTTAGACAGTGCAGATTTGAAACACTTGTCTGTGGAATTTGCAAGGGGAGATTTCAAGCACTTTGAGGCCATTGGTGGAAAAGGAAATATCTTCGTATGAAAACTAGACAGAATCATTCTCAGGAACTACTTTGTGATATGTGCATTCAACTCCCAGAGTTTAACCTTTCTTTTCATAGATGAGTTTGGAAACAGTCAGTTTGTAAATTCTGCAACTGGATATTTGGACCTCTTTGAGGCTTTCGTTGGAAACGGGATTTCTTCACATAATGCTAGACAGAAGAATTCTCAGTAACTTCTTTTGGGATGTATGTATTCAAATCAGAGAGTTGAACCTTCCTTTAGACAGAGCGGATTGGAAACACTCTTTTTGTGGAATTTGCAAGTGGAAAATTCTAGCAGTATGAGGCCAATGGTACAAAAGGAAATATCTTCGTATAAAAACTAGACAGTATCATTCTCAGAAACTGCTTTGTGATGTGTGTATTAAACTCACAGAGTTGAACATTTCTTTGCATAGAGCAGTTTGGAAAGACTTAGTTTGTGCAGTGTGCAAGTGGATATTTGGAACTCTTTGAGGCCTTCGTTGGAAACGGGATTTCTTCTTATAATTCTTGACAAAAGAATTCTCAGTAGCTTCTTTGTGTGTGTGTATTCAACTCACAGAGTTGAACCTTCCTTTAGACAGAGCAGATTGGAAACACTCTTTTTGTGGAATTTGCAAGTGGAGAATTCTAGCGCTTTGACGCCAATGGTAGACAGGAAATATCTTCGTATAAAAACTAGACAGTATCATTCTCAGAAACTCCTTTGTGATGTGTGCGTTCAACTCACAGAGTTTAACCTTTCTTTTCATAGAGCAGTTTGGAAACACTCTGTTTGTGAAGTCTGCAAGTGGATATTTAAACGTCTTTGAGGCCTTCGTTGGAAACGGGATTTCTTCATATAAACCAGGACAGAAGGATTCTCAGAAACTTCTTGTTTGTTATGTGTGCATTCAACTCACAGAGTTGAACCTTACTTTGGAAAGAGCAGTTTTCTAACACTCTTTTTGTAAAAGTTCCAAGTGAATACTTTGAGTGCTTTGAAGCCTACGGTAGACAACGAAATATTCTTCATGTAAAAACTACAAAGAATCATTCGCAGAAACCACGTTGTGATCTCTGCATTCAACTCACAGAGTTGAACCTTTCTTCCTATAGAGCAGTTGTGAAACAGTCTCTTTGTAGAATTTGCAAGGGTGTATTTAGAGGGCATTGAAGCCTACGGTAGAAAAGGAAATATCTTACCATAAAATCTAGTCAGAAGCATTCTCAGCAACTGAGTTGTGATGTGTCCATTCAACTCACAGAGTTCAACATTCCTTTTAATGGAGCGGTTTTGAAACACTCTTTTTGCAGAATCTGCAAGTGGATATTTGGACCTCTTTGAGGCCTTCGTTGGAAACGGGATTTCTTCATGTAATGCCAGACAGAAGAATTCTCAGTGAATTCTTTCTGTGTGTGTGTATTCAACTCACAGAGTTGAACGTTCCTTTAGACAGAGTAGATTGGAAACACTCTTTTTGTGGAATTTTCAGGTGGAGGTATCAAGCGCTTTGAGGCCAATGATAGAAAAGGAAATACCTTCGTATAATAATTAGACGGAATCATTCTCAGAAACTGCTTTGCAATGTGTGCGTTCAACTCACAGTGTTTAACCTTTCTTTTCATACAGTTGTTTCGAAACACTCTTTTTGCAGAATCTGCAAGTGGATATTTGGACCTCTTTGAAGTCTTCGTTGGAAATGGGATTTCTTCATATAATGCTAGACAGAAGACTTCTCAGTAACTGCTTTTTCTGGTGTGTATTCAACTCTCAGAGTTGAACTTTCCTTTAGAAACAGCAGATTTGAAACTCTCTTTTTGTGGAATTTGCAAGTGGAGATTTCAGAGCTTTGAGGCCAATGGTAGAAAAGGAAATATCTTCGTATGCAAACTAGACAGAATCATTCTCAGAAACTACTTTGGTACGTGTGTGTTCAACTCACAGTGTTTAACCTTTCTTTTCATAGAGCAGTTTGGAAACACTCAGTTTGTAAAGTCAGCAACTGGATATCTGGATGTATTTGAGGCCTTCGTTGGAAACGGGATTTCTTCATATAATGCTAGACAGAAGAATTCTCAGTAACTTCTTTGGGTTGTGGGTATTCAACTCACAGAGTTGAAGCTTCCTTTAGGCGGAGCAGATTGGAAACACTTTTTGTGGAATTTTCAGGGGGAGACTTCAAGCGCTTTGAAGTGAATGGTAGGAAAGGAAATATCTTCGTATAAAAACTAGACGGAGTCATTCTCAGAAACTACTTTGTGATGTTTGCGTTCAACTCACAGAGTTTAACGTTTCTTTTCATAGAGCAGTTTGGAAACACTCTTTTTGCAGAATCTGCAAGTGGATATTTGGACCTCTTTGTGGCCTTCGTTGGAAACGGGATTTTTCATATAATGCTAGACAGAAGAATTCTCAGTAACTTCTTTTTGTGGTGTGTATTCAACTCACAGAGTTGAACCTTCCTTTAGACAGAGCAGATTTGAAACTCTCTTTTTGTGGAATTTGCAAGTGGAGATTTCAAGCGCTTTGAGGCCAACGGCAGAAAAGGAAATATCTTCGTAGAAAAAATAGACGGAATCATTCTCAGAAACTGCTTTGGGATGTGTGCATTGAACTCACAGTGTTTAACACTTCTTTTCATAGAGCACTTTGGAAACACTCAGTTTGTAATGTCTGCAGCTGGATATTTGGACCTCTTTGAGGCCTTCGTAGTAAACGGGATTTCTTCGTGTAATGATAGACAATAGAATTCTCAGTGAATTTTTTTCTGTGTGTGTGTATTCAACTCACAGGGTTGAACCTTCCTTTAGACAGTGCAGATTTGAAACACTTGTCTGTGGAATTTGCAAGGGGAGATTTCAAGCACTTTGAGGCCATTGGTGGAAAAGGAAATATCTTCGTATAAAAACTAGACAGAATCATTCTCAGGAACTACTTTGTGATATGTGCATTCAACTCACAGAGTTTAACCTTTCTTTTCATAGATGAGTTTGGAAACAGTCAGTTTGTAAATTCTGCAACTGGATATTTGGACCTCTTTGAGGCTTTCGTTGGAAACGGGATTTCTTCACATAATGCTAGACAGAAGAATTCTCAGTAACTTCTTTTGGGATGTATGTATTCAAATCAGAGAGTTGAACCTTCCTTTAGACAGAGCGGATTGGAAACACTCTTTTTGTGGAATTTGCAAGTGGAAAATTCTAGCAGTATGAGGCCAATGGTACAAAAGGAAATATCTTCGTATAAAAACTAGACAGTATCATTCTCAGAAACTGCTTTGTGATGTGTGTATTAAACTCACAGAGTTGAACATTTCTTTGCATAGAGCAGTTTGGAAAGACTTAGTTTGTGCAGTGTGCAAGTGGATATTTGGAACTCTTTGAGGCCTTCGTTGGAAACGGGATTTCTTCTTATAATTCTTGACAAAAGAATTCTCAGTAGCTTCTTTGTGTGTGTGTATTCAACTCACAGAGTTGAACCTTCCTTTAGACAGAGCAGATTGGAAACACTCTTTTTGTGGAATTTGCAAGTGGAGAATTCTAGCGCTTTGACGCCAATGGTAGAAAGGAAATATCTTCGTATAAAAATTAGACAGTATCATTCTCAGAAGCTACTTTGTGATGTGTGCGTTCAACTCACAGAGTTTAACCTTTCTTTTCATAGAGCAGTTTGGAAACCCTCTGTTTGTGAAGTCTGCAAGTGGATATTTAAACGTCTTTGAGGCCTTCGTTGGAAACGGGATTTTTTCATATAAACCAGGACAGAAGAATTCTCAGAAACTTCTTGATTGTTATGTGTGCATTCAACTCACAGAGTTGAACCTTACTTTGGAAAGAGCAGTTTTCTAACACTCTTTTTGTAAAAGTTCCAAGTGAATACTTTGAGTGCTTTGAAGCCTACGGTTGACAACGAAATATCTTCATGTAAAAACTACAAAGAATCATTCGCAGAAACCACGTTGTGATCTCTGCATTCAACTCACAGAGTTCAACCTTTCTTCCTATAGAGCAGTTATGAAACAGTCTCTTTGTAGAATTTGCAAGGGTGTATTTAGAGGGCATTGAAGCCTACGGTAGAAAAGGAAATATCTTACCATAAAATCTAGTCAGAAGCATTCTCAGAAACTGAGTTGTGATGTTTGCATTCAACTCACAGAGTTCAACATTCCTTTTAATGGAGCGGTTTTGAAACACTCTTTTTGCAGAATCTGCAAGTGGATATTTGGATCTCTTTGAGGCCTTCGTTGGAAACGGGATTTCTTCATGTAATGCCAGACAGAAGAATTCTCAGTGAATTCTTTCTGTGTGTGTGTATTCAACTCACAGAGTTGAACGTTCCTTTAGACAGAGTAGATTGGAAACACTCTTTTTGTGGAATTTTCAGGTGGAGGTATCAAGCGCTTTGAGGCCAATGATAGAAAAGGAAATACCTTCGTATAATAATTACACGGAATCATTCTCAGAAACTGCTTTGCAATGTGTGCGTTCAACTCACAGTGTTTAACCTTTCTTTTCATACAGTTGTTTCGAAACACTCTTTTTGCAGAATCTGCAAGTGGATATTTGGACCTCTTTGAAGTCTTCGTTGGAAATGGGATTTCTTCATATAATGCTAGACAGAAGACTTCTCAGTAACTGCTCTTTCTGGTGTGTATTCAACTCTCAGAGTTGAACTTTCCTTTACAAACAGCAGATTTGAAACTCTCTTTTTGTGGAATTTGCAAGTGGAGATTTCAGAGCTTTGAGGCCAATGGTAGAAAAGGAAATATCTTCGTATGCAAACTAGACAGAATCATTCTCAGAAACTACTTTGGTACGTGTGTGTTCAACTCACAGTGTTTAACCTTTCTTGTCATAGAGCAGTTTGGAAACACTCAGTTTGTAAAGTCAGCAACTGGATATTTGGATGTATTTGAGGCCTTCGTTGGAAACGGGATTTCTTCATATAGTGCTAGACAGAAGAATTCTCAGTAACTTCTTTGGGTTGTGGGTATTCAAGTCACAGAGTTGAAGCTTCCTTTAGGCGGAGCAGATTGGAAACACTTTTTGTGGAATTTTCAGGGGGAGACTTCAAGCGCTTTGAAGTGAATGGTAGGAAAGGAAATATCTTCGTATAAAAACTAGACGGAGTCATTCTCAGAAACTACTTTGTGATGTTTGCGTTCAACTCACAGAGTTTAACGTTTCTTTTCATAGAGCAGTTTGGAAACACTCTTTTTGCAGAATCTGCAAGTGGATATTTGGACCTCTTTGTGGCCTTCGTTGGAAACGGGATTTTTCATATAATGCTAGACAGAAGAATTCTCAGTAACTTCTTTTTGTGGTGTGTATTCAACTCACAGAGTTGAACCTTCCTTTAGACAGAGCAGATTTGAAACTCTCTTTTTGTGGAATTTGCAAGTGGAGATTTCAAGCGCTTTGAGGCCAACGGCAGAAAAGGAAATATCTGCGTAGAAAAAATAGACGGAATCATTCTCAGAAACTGCTTTGGGATGTGTGCATTGAACTCACAGTGTTTAACACTTCTTTTCATAGAGCAATTTGGAAACACTCAGTTTGTAATGTCTGCAGCTGGATATTTGGACCTCTTTGAGGCCTTCGTAGTAAACGGGATTTCTTCGTGTAATGATAGACAATAGAATTCTCAGTGAATTTTTTTCTGTGTGTGTGTATTCAACTCACAGGGTTGAACCTTCCTTTAGACAGTGCAGATTTGAAACACTTGTCTGTGGAATTTGCAAGGGGAGATTTCAAGCACTTTGAGGCCATTGGTGGAAAAGGAAATATCTTCGTATAAAAACTAGACAGAATCATTCTCAGGAACTACTTTGTGATATGTGCATTCAACTCACAGAGTTTAACCTTTCTTTTCATAGATGAGTTTGGAAACAGTCAGTTTGTAAATTCTGCCACTGGATATTTGGACCTCTTTGAGGCTTTCGTTGGAAACGGGATTTCTTCACATAATGCTAGACAGAAGAATTCTCAGTAACTTCTTTTGGGATGTATGTATTCAAATCAGAGAGTTGAACCTTCCTTTAGACAGAGCGGATTGGAAACACTCTTTTTGTGGAATTTGCAAGTGGAAAATTCTAGCAGTATGAGGCCAATGGTACAAAAGGAAATATCTTCGTATAAAAACTAGACAGTATCATTCTCAGAAACTGCTTTGTGATGTGTGTATTAAACTCACAGAGTTGAACATTTCTTTGCATAGAGCAGTTTGGAAAGACTTAGTTTGTGCAGTGTGCAAGTGGATATTTGGAACTCTTTGAGGCCTTCGTTGGAAACGGGATTTCTTCTTATAATTCTTGACAAAAGAATTCTCAGTAGCTTCTTTGTGTGTGTGTATTCAACTCACAGAGTTGAACCTTCCTTTAGACAGAGCAGATTGGAAACACTCTTTTTGTGGAATTTGCAAGTGGAGAATTCTAGCGCTTTGACGCCAATGGTAGAAAGGAAATATCTTCGTATAAAAACTAGACAGTATCATTCTCAGAAGCTACTTTGTGATGTGTGCGTTCAACTCACAGAGTTTAACCTTTCTTTTCATAGAGCAGTTTGGAAACCCTCTGTTTGTGAAGTCTGCAAGTGGATATTTAAACGTCTTTGAGGCCTTCGTTGGAAACGGGATTTTTTCATATAAACCAGGACAGAAGAATTCTCAGAAACTTCTTGATTGTTATGTGTGCATTCAACTCACAGAGTTGAACCTTACTTTGGAAAGAGCAGTTTTCTAACACTCTTTTTGTAAAAGTTCCAAGTGAATACTTTGAGTGCTTTGAAGCCTACGGTTGACAACGAAATATCTTCATGTAAAAACTACAAAGAATCATTCGCAGAAACCACGTTGTGATCTCTGCATTCAACTCACAGAGTTGAACCTTTCTTCCTATAGAGCAGTTATGAAACAGTCTCTTTGTAGAAATTGCAAGGGTGTATTTAGAGGGCATTGAAGCCTACGGTAGAAAAGGAAATATCTTACTATAAAATCTAGTCAGAAGCATTCTCAGCAACTGAGTTGTAATGTTTGCATTCAACTCACAGAGTTCAACATTCCTTTTAATGGAGCGGTTTTGAAACACTCTTTTTGCAGAATCTGCAAGTGGATATTTGGACGTCTTTGAGGCCTTCGTTGGAAACGGGATTTCTTCATGTAATGCCAGACAGAAGAATTCTCAGTGAATTCTTTCTGTGTGTGTGTATTCAACTCACAGAGTTGAACCTTCCTTTAGACAGAGCAGATTTGAAACTCTCTTTTTGTGGAATTTGCAAGTGGAGATTTCAAGCGCTTTGAGGCCAACGGCAGAAAAGGAAATATCTTCGTAGAAAAAATAGACGGAATCATTCTCAGAAACTGCTTTGGGATGTGTGCATTGAACTCACAGTGTTTAACACTTCTTTTCGTAGAGCACTTTGGAAACACTCAGTTTGTAATGTCTGCAGCTGGATATTTGGACCTCTTTGAGGCCTTCGTAGTAAACGGGATTTCTTCGTGTAATGATAGACAATAGAATTCTCAGTGAATTTTTTTCTGTGTGTGTGTATTCAACTCACAGGGTTGAACCTTCCTTTAGACAGTGCAGATTTGAAACACTTGTCTGTGGAATTTGCAAGGGGAGATTTCAAGCACTTTGAGGCCATTGGTGGAAAAGGAAATATCTTCGTATGAAAACTAGACAGAATCATTCTCAGGAACTACTTTGTGATATGTGCATTCAACTCCCAGAGTTTAACCTTTCTTTTCATAGATGAGTTTGGAAACAGTCAGTTTGTAAATTCTGCAACTGGATATTTTGACCTCTTTGAGGCTTTCGTTGGAAACGGGATTTCTTCACATAATGCTAGACAGAAGAATTCTCAGTAACTTCTTTTGGGATGTATGTATTCAAATCAGAGAGTTGAACCTTCCTTTAGACAGAGCGGATTGGAAACACTCTTTTTGTGGAATTTGCAAGTGGAAAATTCTAGCAGTATGAGGCCAATGGTACAAAAGGAAATATCTTCGTATAAAAACTAGACAGTATCATTCTCAGAAACTGCTTTGTGATGTGTGTATTAAACTCACAGAGTTTAACCTTTCTTTTCATAGAGCAGTTTGGAAACCCTCTGTTTGTGAAGTCTGCAAGTGGATATTTAAACGTCTTTGAGGCCTTCGTTGGAAACGGGATTTTTTCATATAAACCAGGACAGAAGAATTCTCAGAAACTTCTTGATTGTTATGTGTGCATTCAACTCACAGAGTTGAACCTTACTTTGGAAAGAGCAGTTTTCTAACACTCTTTTTGTAAAAGTTCCAAGTGAATACTTTGAGTGCTTTGAAGCCTACGGTTGACAACGAAATATCTTCATGTAAAAACTACAAAGAATCATTCGCAGAAACCACGTTGTGATCTCTGCATTCAACTCACAGTGTTGAACCTTTCTTCCTATAGAGCAGTTATGAAACAGTCTCTTTGTAGAATTTGCAAGGGTGTATTTAGAGGGCATTGAAGCCTACGGTAGAAAAGGAAATATCTTACCATAAAATCTAGTCAGAAGCATTCTCAGAAACTGAGTTGTGATGTTTGCATTCAACTCACAGAGTTCAACATTCCTTTTAATGGAGCGGTTTTGAAACACTCTTTTTGCAGAATCTGCAAGTGGATATTTGGACCTCTTTGAGGCCTTCGTTGGAAACGGGATTTCTTCATGTAATGCCAGACAGAAGAATTCTCAGTGAATTCTTTCTGTGTGTGTGTATTCAACTCACAGAGTTGAACGTTCCTTTAGACAGAGTAGATTGGAAACACTCTTTTTGTGGAATTTTCAGGTGGAGGTATCAAGCGCTTTGAGGCCAATGATAGAAAAGGAAATACCTTCGTATAATAATTAGACGGAATCATTCTCAGAAACTGCTTTGCAATGTGTGCGTTCAACTCACAGTGTTTAACCTTTCTTTTCATACAGTTGTTTCGAAACACTCTTTTTGCAGAATCTGCAAGTGGATATTTGGACCTCTTTGAAGTCTTCGTTGAAAATGGGATTTCTTCATATAATGCTAGACAGAAGACTTCTCAGTAACTGCTTTTTCTGGTGTGTATTCAACTCTCAGAGTTGAACTTTCCTTTAGAAACAGCAGATTTGAAACTCTCTTTTTGTGGAATTTGCAAGTGGAGATTTCAGAGCTTTGAGGCCACTGGTAGAAAAGGAAATATCTTCGTATGCAAACTAGACAGAATCATTCTCAGAAACTACTTTGGTACGTGTGTGTTCAACTCACAGTGTTTAACCTTTCTTTTCATAGAGCAGTTTGGAAACACTCAGTTTGTAAAGTCAGCAACTGGATATTTGGATGTATTTGAGGCCTTCGTTGGAAACGGGATTTCTTCATATAGTGCTAGACAGAAGAATTCTCAGTAACTTCTTTGGGTTGTGGGTATTCAAGTCACAGAGTTGAAGCTTCCTTTAGGCGGAGCAGATTGGAAACACTTTTTGTGGAATTTTCAGGGGGAGACTTCAAGCGCTTTGAAGTGAATGGTAGGAAAGGAAATATCTTCGTATAAAAACTAGACGGAGTCATTCTCAGAAACTACTTTGTGATGTTTGCGTTCAACTCACAGAGTTTAACGTTTCTTTTCATAGAGCAGTTTGGAAACACTCTTTTTGCAGAATCTGCAAGTGGATATTTGGACCTCTTTGTGGCCTTCGTTGGAAACGGGATTTTTCATATAATGCTAGACAGAAGAATTCTCAGTAACTTCTTTTTGTGGTGTGTATTCAACTCACAGAGTTGAACCTTCCTTTAGACAGAGCAGATTTGAAACTCTCTTTTTGTGGAATTTGCAAGTGGAGATTTCAAGCGCTTTGAGGCCAACGGCAGAAAAGGAAATATCTTCGTAGAAAAAATAGACGGAATCATTCTCAGAAACTGCTTTGGGATGTGTGCATTGAACTCACAGTGTTTAACACTTCTTTTCATAGAGCACTTTGGAAACACTCAGTTTGTAATGTCTGCAGCTGGATATTTGGACCTCTTTGAGGCCTTCGTAGTAAACGGGATTTCTTCGTGTAATGATAGACAATGTAATTCTCAGTGAATTTTTTTCTGTGTGTGTGTATTCAACTCACAGGGTTGAACCTTCCTTTAGACAGTGCAGATTTGAAACACTTGTCTGTGGAATTTGCAAGGGGAGATTTCAAGCACTTTGAGGCCATTGGTGGAAAAGGAAATATCTTCGTATGAAAACTAGACAGAATCATTCTCAGGAACTACTTTGTGATATGTGCATTCAACTCCCAGAGTTTAACCTTTCTTTTCATAGATGAGTTTGGAAACAGTCAGTTTGTAAATTCTGCAACTGGATATTTGGACCTCTTTGAGGCTTTCGTTGGAAACGGGATTTCTTCACATAATGCTAGACAGAAGAATTCTCAGTAACTTCTTTTGGGATGTATGTATTCAAATCAGAGAGTTGAACCTTCCTTTAGACAGAGCGGATTGGAAACACTCTTTTTGTGGAATTTGCATGTGGAAAATTCTAGCAGTATGAGACCAATGGTACAAAAGGAAATATCTTCGTATAAAAACTAGACAGTATCATTCTCAGAAACTGCTTTGTGATGTGTGTATTAAACTCACAGAGTTGAACATTTCTTTGCATAGAGCAGTTTGGAAAGACTTAGTTTGTGCAGTGTGCAAGTGGATATTTGGAACTCTTTGAGGCCTTCGTTGGAAACGGGATTTCTTCTTATAATTCTTGACAAAAGAATTCTCAGTAGCTTCTTTGTGTGTGTGTATTCAACTCACAGAGTTGAACCTTCCTTTAGACAGAGCAGATTGGAAACACTCTTTTTGTGGAATTTGCAAGTGGAGAATTCTAGCGCTTTGACGCCAATGGTAGAAAGGAAATATCTTCGTATAAAAACTAGACAGTATCATTCTCAGAAGCTACTTTGTGATGTGTGCGTTCAACTCACAGAGTTTAACCTTTCTTTTCATAGAGCAGTTTGGAAACCCTCTGTTTGTGAAGTCTGCAAGTGGATATTTAAACGTCTTTGAGGCCTTCGTTGGAAACGGGATTTTTTCATATAAACCAGGACAGAAGAATTCTCAGAAACTTCTTGATTGTTATGTGTGCATTCAACTCACAGAGTTGAACCTTACTTTGGAAAGAGCAGTTTTCTAACACTCTTTTTGTAAAAGTTCCAAGTGAATACTTTGAGTGCTTTGAAGCCTACGGTTGACAACGAAATATCTTCATGTAAAAACTACAAAGAATCATTCGCAGAAACCACGTTGTGATCTCTGCATTCAACTCACAGAGTTGAACCTTTCTTCCTATAGAGCAGTTATGAAACAGTCTCTTTGTAGAATTTGCAAGGGTGTATTTAGAGGGCATTGAAGCCTACGGTAGAAAAGGAAATATCTTACCATAAAATGTAGTCAGAAGCATTCTCAGCAACTGAGTTGTGATGTTTGCATTCAACTCACAGAGTTCAACATTCCTTTTAATGGAGCGGTTTTGAAACACTCTTTTTGCAGAATCTGCAAGTGGATATTTGGACCTCTTTGAGGCCTTCGTTGGAAACGGGATTTCTTCATGTAATGCCAGACAGAAGAATTCTCAGTGAATTCTTTCTGTGTGTGTGTATTCAACTCACAGAGTTGAACGTTCCTTTAGACAGAGTAGATTGGAAACACTCTTTTTGTGGAATTTTCAGGTGGAGGTATCAAGCGCTTTGAGGCCAATGATAGAAAAGGAAATACCTTCGTATAATAATTAGACGGAATCATTCTCAGAAACTGCTTTGCAATGTGTGCGTTCAACTCACAGTGTTTAACCTTTCTTTTCATACAGTTGTTTCGAAACACTCTTTTTGCAGAATCTGCAAGTGGATATTTGGACCTCTTTGAAGTCTTCGTTGGAAATGGGATTTCTTCATATAATGCTAGACAGAAGACTTCTCAGTAACTGCTTTTTCTGGTGTGTATTCAACTCTCAGAGTTGAACTTTCCTTTAGAAACAGCAGATTTGAAACTCTCTTTTTGTGGAATTTGCAAGTGGAGAT
Organism: Homo sapiens; assembly: GCF_000001405.40. Lineage (NCBI taxonomy): Eukaryota > Metazoa > Chordata > Mammalia > Primates > Hominidae > Homo > Homo sapiens. The sequence continues at coordinate 91,700,340 of NC_000003.12, forward strand.
TTCAGAGCTTTGAGGCCAATGGTAGAAAAGGAAATATCTTCGTATGCAAACTAGACAGAATCATTCTCAGAAACTACTTTGGTACGTGTGTGTTCAACTCACAGTGTTTAACCTTTCTTTTCATAGAGCAGTTTGGAAACACTCAGTTTGTAAAGTCAGCAACTGGATATTTGGATGTATTTGAGGCCTTCGTTGGAAACGGGATTTCTTCATATAATGCTAGACAGAAGAATTCTCAGTAACTTCTTTGGGTTGTGGGTATTCAAGTCACAGAGTTGAAGCTTCCTTTAGGCGGAGCAGATTGGAAACACTTTTTGTGGAATTTTCAGGGGGAGACTTCAAGCGCTTTGAAGTGAATGGTAGGAAAGGAAATATCTTCGTATAAAAACTAGACGGAGTCATTCTCAGAAACTACTTTGTGATGTTTGCGTTCAACTCACAGAGTTTAACGTTTCTTTTCATAGAGCAGTTTGGAAACACTCTTTTTGCAGAATCTGCAAGTGGATATTTGGACCTCTTTGAGGCCTTCGTAGTAAACGGGATTTCTTCGTGTAATGATAGACAATAGAATTCTCAGTGAATTTTTTTCTGTGTGTGTGTATTCAACTCACAGGGTTGAACCTTCCTTTAGACAGTGCAGATTTGAAACACTTGTCTGTGGAATTTGCAAGGGGAGATTTCAAGCACTTTGAGGCCATTGGTGGAAAAGGAAATATCTTCGTATGAAAACTAGACAGAATCATTCTCAGGAACTACTTTGTGATATGTGCATTCAACTCACAGAGTTTAACCTTTCTTTTCATAGATGAGTTTGGAAACAGTCAGTTTGTAAATTCTGCAACTGGATATTTGTACCTCTTTGAGGCTTTCGTTGGAAACGGGATTTCTTCACATAATGCTAGACAGAAGAATTCTCAGTAACTTCTTTTGGGATGTATGTATTCAAATCAGAGAGTTGAACCTTCCTTTAGACAGAGCGGATTGGAAACACTCTTTTTGTGGAATTTGCAAGTGGAAAATTCTAGCAGTATGAGGCCAATGGTACAAAAGGAAATATCTTCGTATAAAAACTAGACAGTATCATTCTCAGAAACTGCTTTGTGATGTGTGTATTAAACTCACAGAGTTGAACATTTCTTTGCATAGAGCAGTTTGGAAAGACTTAGTTTGTGCAGTGTGCAAGTGGATATTTGGAACTCTTTGAGGCCTTGGTTGGAAACGGGATTTCTTCTTATAATTCTTGACAAAAGAATTCTCAGTAGCTTCTTTGTGTGTGTGTATTCAACTCACAGAGTTGAACCTTCCTTTAGACAGAGCAGATTGGAAACACTCTTTTTGTGGAATTTGCAAGTGGAGAATTCTAGCGCTTTGACACCAATGGTAGAAAGGAAATATCTTCGTATAAAAACTAGACAGTATCATTCTCAGAAGCTACTTTGTGATGTGTGCGTTCAACTCACAGAGTTTAACCTTTCTTTTCATAGAGCAGTTTGGAAACACTCTGTTTGTGAAGTCTGCAAGTGGATATTTAAACGTCTTTGAGGCCTTCGTTGGAAACGGGATTTTTTCATATAAACCAGGACAGAAGAATTCTCAGAAACTTCTTGATTGTTATGTGTGCATTCAACTCACAGAGTTGAACCTTACTTTGGAAAGAGCAGTTTTCTAACACTCTTTTTGGAAAAGTTCCAAGTGAATACTTTGAGTGCTTTGAAGCCTACGGTTGACAACGAAATATCTTCCTGTAAAAACTACAAAGAATCATTCGCAGAAACCACGTTGTGATCTCTGCATTCAACTCACAGAGTTGAACCTTTCTTCCTATAGAGCAGTTATGAAACAGTCTCTTTGTAGAATTTGCAAGGGTGTATTTAGAGGGCATTGAAGCCTACGGTATAAAAGGAAATATCTTACCATAAAATCTAGTCAGAAGCATTCTCAGAAACTGAGTTGTGATGTTTGCATTCAACTCACAGAGTTCAACATTCCTTTTAATGGAGCGGTTTTGAAACACTCTTTTTGCAGAATCTGCAAGTGGATATTTGGACCTCTTTGAGGCCTTCGTTGGAAACGGGATTTCTTCATGTAATGCCAGACAGAAGAATTCTCAGTGAATTCTTTCTGTGTGTGTGTATTCAACTCACAGAGTTGAACGTTCCTTTAGACAGAGTAGATTGGAAACACTCTTTTTGTGGAATTTTCAGGTGGAGGTATCAAGCGCTTTGAGGCCAATGATAGAAAAGGAAATACCTTCGTATAATAATTAGACGGAATCATTCTCAGAAACCGCTTTGCAATGTGTGCGTTCAACTCACAGTGTTTAACCTTTCTTTTCATAGAGTTGTTTCGAAACACTCTTTTTGCAGAATCTGCAAGTGGATATTTGGACCTCTTTGAAGTCTTCGGTTGGAAATGGGATTTCTTCATATAATGCTAGACAGAAGACTTCTCAGTAACTGCTTTTTCTGGTGTGTATTCAACTCTCAGATTTGAACCTTCCTTTAGAAACAGCAGATTTGAAACTCTCTTTTTGTGGTATTTGCAAGTGGAGAATTCAAGTGCTTTGAGGCCAACGGTAGAAAAGGAAATATCTTCGTAGAAAAAATAGACGGAATCATTCTCAGAAACTGCTTTGTGATGTGTGCATTGAACTCACAGTGTTTAACACTTCTTTTCATAGAGCACTTTGGAAACACTCAGTTTGTATTGTCTGCAACTGGATATTTGGACCTCTTTGAGGCATTCGTGGTAAACGGGATTTCTTCGTGTAATGATAGACAATAGAATTCTCAGTGAATTTTTTTCTGTGTGTGTGTATTCAACTCACAGGGTTGAACCTTCCTTTAGACAGTGCAGATTTGAAACACTTGTCTGTGGAATTTGCAAGGGGAGATTTCAAGCACTTTGAGGCCATTGGTGGAAAAGGGAATATCTTCGTATAAAAACTAGACAGAATCATTCTCAGGAACTACTTTGTGATATGTGCATTCAACTCACAGAGTTTAACCTTTCTTTTCATAGATGAGTTTGGAAAGAGTCAGTTTGTAAATTCTGCAACTGGATATTTGGACCTCTTTGAGGCTTTCGTTGGAAACGGGATTTCTTCACATAATGCTAGACAGAAGAATTCTCAGTAACTTCTTTTGGGATGTATGTATTCAACTCAGAGAGTTGAACCTTCCCTTAGACAGAGCGGATTGGAAACACGCTTTTTGTGGAATTTTCAGGTGGAGATTTCAATAACCTTGAGGCCAATGGTAGAAAAGGCTATCTTCGTATAAAAACTAGACGGAATCATTCTCAGAAACTGCTTTGTGATGTGTGTATTAAACTCACAGAGTTGAACATTTCTTTGCATAGAGCAGTTTGGAAAGACTTAGTTTTTGCAGTGTGCAAGTGGATATTTGGAACTCTTTGAGGCCTTCGTTGGAAACGGGATTTCTTCTTATAATTTCTTGAAAAAAGAATTCTCAGTAGCTTCTTTGTGTGTGTGTATTCAACTCACAGAGTTGAACCTTCCTTTAGACAGAGCAGATTGGAAACACTCTTTTTGTGGAATTTGCAAGTGGAGAATTCTAGCGCTTTGACGCCAATGGTAGAAAGGAAATATCTTCGTATAAAAACTAGACAGTATCATTCTCAGAAGCTACTTTGTGATGTGTGCGTTCAACTCACAGAGTTTAACCTTTCTTTTCATAGAGCAGTTTGGAAACCCTCTGTTTGTGAAGTCTGCAAGTGGATATTTAAACGTCTTTGAGGCCTTCGTTGGAAACGGGATTTTTTCATATAAACCAGGACAGAAGAATTCTCAGAAACTTCTTGATTGTTATGTGTGCATTCAACTCACAGAGTTGAACCTTACTTTGGAAAGAGCAGTTTTCTAACACTCTTTTTGTAAAAGTTCCAAGTGAATACTTTGAGTGCTTTGAAGCCTACGGTTGACAACGAAATATCTTCATGTAAAAACTACAAAGAATCATTCGCAGAAACCACGTTGTGATCTCTGCAGTCAACTCACAGAGTTCAACCTTTCTTCCTATAGAGCAGTTATGAAACAGTCTCTTTGTAGAATTTGCAAGGGTGTATTTAGAGGGCATTGAAGCCTACGGTAGAAAAGGAAATATCTTACCATAAAATCTAGTCAGAAGCATTCTCAGAAACTGAGTTGTGATGTTTGCATTCAACTCACAGAGTTCAACATTCCTTTTAATGGAGCGGTTTTGAAACACTCTTTTTGCAGAATCTGCAAGTGGATATTTGGACCTCTTTGAGGCCTTCGTTGGAAACGGGATTTCTTCATGTAATGCCAGACAGAAGAATTCTCAGTGAATTCTTTCTGTGTGTGTGTATTCAACTCACAGAGTTGAACGTTCCTTTAGACAGAGTAGATTGGAAACACTCTTTTTGTGGAATTTTCAGGTGGAGGTATCAAGCGCTTTGAGGCCAATGATAGAAAAGGAAATACCTTCGTATAATAATTAGACGGAATCATTCTCAGAAACTGCTTTGCAATGTGTGCGTTCAACTCACAGTGTTTAACCTTTCTTTTCATACAGTTGTTTCGAAACACTCTTTTTGCAGAATCTGCAAGTGGATATTTGGACCTCTTTGAAGTCTTCGTTGGAAATGGGATTTCTTCATATAATGCTAGACAGAAGACTTCTCAGTAACTGCTCTTTCTGGTGTGTATTCAACTCTCAGAGTTGAACTTTCCTTTACAAACAGCAGATTTGAAACTCTCTTTTTGTGGAATTTGCAAGTGGAGATTTCAGAGCTTTGAGGCCAATGGTAGAAAAGGAAATATCTTCGTATGCAAACTAGACAGAATCATTCTCAGAAACTACTTTGGTACGTGTGTGTTCAACTCACAGTGTTTAACCTTTCTTTTCATAGAGCAGTTTGGAAACACTCAGTTTGTAAAGTCAGCAACTGGATATTTGGATGTATTTGAGGCCTTCGTTGGAAACGGGATTTCTTCATATAATGCTAGACAGAAGAATTCTCAGTAACTTCTTTGGGTTGTGGGTATTCAAGTCACAGAGTTGAAGCTTCCTTTAGGCGGAGCAGATTGGAAACACTTTTTGTGGAATTTTCAGGGGGAGACTTCAAGCGCTTTGAAGTGAATGGTAGGAAAGGAAATATCTTCGTATAAAAACTAGACGGAGTCATTCTCAGAAACTACTTTGTGATGTTTGCGTTCAACTCACAGAGTTTAACGTTTCTTTTCATAGAGCAGTTTGGAAACACTCTTTTTGCAGAATCTGCAAGTGGATATTTGGACCTCTTTGTGGCCTTCGTTGGAAACGGGATTTTTCATATAATGCTAGACAGAAGAATTCTCAGTAACTTCTTTTTGTGGTGTGTATTCAACTCACAGAGTTGAACCTTCCTTTAGACAGAGCAGATTTGAAACTCTCTTTTTGTGGAATTTGCAAGTGGAGATTTCAAGCGCTTTGAGGCCAACGGCAGAAAAGGAAATATCTTCGTAGAAAAAATAGACGGAATCATTCTCAGAAACTGCTTTGGGATGTGTGCATTGAACTCACAGTGTTTAACACTTCTTTTCATAGAGCACTTTGGAAACACTCAGTTTGTAATGTCTGCAGCTGGATATTTGGACCTCTTTGAGGCCTTCGTAGTAAACGGGATTTCTTCGTGTAATGATAGACAATAGAATTCTCAGTCAATTTTTTCCTGTGTGTGTGTATTCAACTCACAGGGTTGAACCTTCCTTTAGACAGTGCAGATTTGAAACACTTGTCTGTGGAATTTGCAAGGGGAGATTTCAAGCACTTTGAGGCCATTGGTGGAAAAGGAAATATCTTCGTATAAAAACTAGACAGAATCATTCTCAGGAACTACTTTGTGATATGTGCATTCAACTCCCAGAGTTTAACCTTTCTTTTCATAGATGAGTTTGGAAACAGTCAGTTTGTAAATTCTGCCACTGGATATTTGGACCTCTTTGAGGCTTTCGTTGGAAACGGGATTTCTTCACATAATGCTAGACAGAAGAATTCTCAGTAACTTCTTTTGGGATGTATGTATTCAAATCAGAGAGTTGAACCTTCCTTTAGACAGAGCGGATTGGAAACACTCTTTTTGTGGAATTTGCAAGTGGAAAATTCTAGCAGTATGAGGCCAATGGTACAAAAGGAAATATCTTCGTATAAAAACTAGACAGTATCATTCTCAGAAACTGCTTTGTGATGTGTGTATTAAACTCACAGAGTTGAACATTTCTTTGCATAGAGCAGTTTGGAAAGACTTAGTTTGTGCAGTGTGCAAGTGGATATTTGGAACTCTTTGAGGCCTTCGTTGGAAACGGGATTTCTTCTTATAATTTCTTGAAAAAAGAATTCTCAGTAGCTTCTTTGTGTGTGTGTATTCAACTCACAGAGTTGAACCTTCCTTTAGACAGAGCAGATTGGAAACACTCTTTTTGTGGAATTTGCAAGTGGAGAATTCTAGCGCTTTGACGCCAATGGTAGAAAGGAAATATCTTCGTATAAAAACTAGACAGTATCATTCTCAGAAGCTACTTTGTGATGTGTGCGTTCAACTCACAGAGTTTAACCTTTCTTTTCATAGAGCAGTTTGGAAACCCTCTGTTTGTGAAGTCTGCAAGTGGATATTTAAACGTCTTTGAGGCCTTCGTTGGAAACGGGATTTTTTCATATAAACCAGGACAGAAGAATTCTCAGAAACTTCTTGATTGTTATGTGTGCATTCAACTCACAGAGTTCAACCTTACTTTGGAAAGAGCAGTTTTCTAACACTCTTTTTGTAAAAGTTCCAAGTGAATACTTTGAGTGCTTTGAAGCCTACGGTTGACAACGAAATATCTTCATGTAAAAACTACAAAGAATCATTCGCAGAAACCACGTTGTGATCTCTGCATTCAACTCACAGAGTTGAACCTTTCTTCCTGTAGAGCAGTTATGAAACAGTCTCTTTGTAGAATTTGCAAGGGTGTATTTAGAGGGCATTGAAGCCTACGGTAGAAAAGGAAATATCTTACCATAAAATCTACTCAGAAGCATTCTCAGCAACTGAGTTGTGATGTTTGCATTCAACTCACAGAGTTCAACATTCCTTTTAATGGAGCGGTTTTGAAACACTCTTTTTGCAGAATCTGCAAGTGGATATTTGGACCTCTTTGAGGCCTTCGTTGGAAACGGGATTTCTTCATGTAATGCCAGACAGAAGAATTCTCAGTGAATTCTTTCTGTGTGTGTGTATTCAACTCACAGAGTTGAACGTTCCTTTAGACAGAGTAGATTGGAAACACTCTTTTTGTGGAATTTTCAGGTGGAGGTATCAAGCGCTTTGAGGCCAATGATAGAAAAGGAAATACCTTCGTATAATAATTAGACGGAATCATTCTCAGAAACTGCTTTGCAATGTGTGCGTTCAACTCACAGTGTTTAACCTTTCTTTTCATACAGTTGTTTCGAAACACTCTTTTTGCAGAATCTGCAAGTGGATATTTGGACCTCTTTGAAGTCTTCGTTGGAAATGGGATTTCTTCATATAATGCTAGACAGAAGACTTCTCAGTAACTGCTTTTTCTGGTGTGTATTCAACTCTCAGAGTTGAACTTTCCTTTAGAAACAGCAGATTTGAAACTCTCTTTTTGTGGAATTTGCAAGTGGAGATTTCAGAGCTTTGAGGCCAATGGTAGAAAAGGAAATATCTTCGTATGCAAACTAGACAGAATCATTCTCAGAAACTACTTTGGTACGTGTGTGTTCAACTCACAGTGTTTAACCTTTCTTTTCATAGAGCAGTTTGGAAACACTCAGTTTGTAAAGTCAGCAACTGGATATTTGGATGTATTTGAGGCCTTCGTTGGAAACGGGATTTCTTCATATAGTGCTAGACAGAAGAATTCTCAGTAACTTCTTTGGGTTGTGGGTATTCAACTCACAGAGTTGAAGCTTCCTTTAGGCGGAGCAGATTGGAAACACTTTTTGTGGAATTTTCAGGGGGAGACTTCAAGCGCTTTGAAGTGAATGGTAGAAAAGGAAATATCTTCGTATAAAAACTAGACGGAGTCATTCTCAGAAACTACTTTGTGATGTTTGCGTTCAACTCACAGAGTTTAACGTTTCTTTTCATAGAGCAGTTTGGAAACACTCTTTTTGCAGAATCTGCAAGTGGATATTTGGACCTCTTTGTGGCCTTCGTTGGAAACGGGATTTTTCATATAATGCTAGACAGAAGAATTCTCAGTAACTTCTTTTTGTGGTGTGTATTCAACTCACAGAGTTGAACCTTCCTTTAGACAGAGCAGATTTGAAACTCTCTTTTTGTGGAATTTGCAAGTGGAGATTTCAAGCGCTTTGAGGCCAACGGTAGAAAAGTAAATATCTTCGTAGAAAAAATAGACGGAATCATTCTCAGAAACTGCTTTGGGATGTGTGCATTGAACTCACAGTGTTTAACACTTCTTTTCATAGAGCACTTTGGAAACACTCAGTTTGTAATGTCTGCAGCTGGATATTTGGACCTCTTTGAGGCCTTCGTAGTAAACGGGATTTCTTCGTGTCATGATAGACAATAGAATTCTCAGTGAATTTTTTTCTGTGCGTGTGTATTCAACTCACAGGGTTGAACCTTCCTTTAGACAGTGTAGATTTGAAACACTTGTCTGTGGAATTTGCAAGGGGAGATTTCAAGCACTTTGAGGCCATTGGTGGAAAAGGAAATATCTTCGTATAAAAACTAGACAGAATCATTCTCAGGAACTACTTTGTGATATGTGCATTCAACTCACAGAGTTTAACCTTTCTTTTCATAGATGAGTTTGGAAACAGTCAGTTTGTAAATTCTGCAACTGGATATTTGGACCTCTTTGAGGCTTTCGTTGGAAACGGGATTTCTTCACATAATGCTAGACAGAAGAATTCTCAGTAACTTCTTTTGGGATGTATGTATTCAAATCAGAGAGTTGAACCTTCCTTTAGACAGAGCGGATTGGAAACACTCTTTTTGTGGAATTTGCAAGTGGAAAACTCTAGCATTATGAGGCCAATGGTACAAAAGGAAATATCTTCGTATAAAAACTAGACAGTATCATTCTCAGAAACTGCTTTGTGATGTGTGTATTAAACTCACAGAGTTGAACATTTCTTTGCATAGAGCAGTTTGGAAAGACTTAGTTTGTGCAGTGTGCAAGTGGATATTTGGAACTCTTTGAGGCCTTCGTTGGAAACGGGATTTCTTCATGTAATGCCAGACAGAAGAATTCTCAGTAGCTTCTTTGTGTGTGTGTACTCAACTCACAGAGTTGAACCTTCCTTTAGACAGAGCAGATTGGAAACACTCTTTTTGTGGAATTTGCAAGTGGAAAATTCTAGCAGTATGAGGCCAATGGTACAAAAGGAAATATCTTCGTATAAAAACTAGACAGTATCATTCTCAGAAACTACTTTGTGAGGTGTGCGTTCAACTCACAGTGTTTACCCTTTCTTTTCATAGAGCAGTTTGGAAACACTCTGTTTGTGAAGTCTGCAAGTGGATATTTAAACGTCTTTGAGGCCTTCGTTGGAAACGGGATTTCTTCATATAAACCAGGACAGAAGAATTCTCAGAAACTTCTTGTTTGTTATGTGTGCATTCAACTCACAGAGTTGAACCTTACTTTGGAAAGAGCAGTTTTCTAACACTCTTTTTTTTAAATTTCCAAGTGAATACTTTGAGTGCTTTGAAGCCTTACGGTAGACAACGAAATATCTTCATGTAAAAACTACAAAGAATCATTCGCAGAAACCACGTTGTGATCTCTGCATTCAACTCACAGAGTTGAACCTTTCCTCCTATAGAGCAGTTATGAAACAGTCTCTTTGTTGAATTTGCAAGGGTGTATTTACAGGGCATTGAAGCCTATGGTAGAAAAGGAAATATCTTACCATAAAATCTAGTCAGAAGCATTCTCAGAAACTGAGTTGTGATGTTTGCATTCAACTCACAGAGTTCAACATTCCTTTTAATGGAGCGGTTTTGAAACACTCTTTTTGCAGAATCTGCAAGTGGATATTTGGACCTCTTTGAGGCCTTCGTTGGAAACGGGATTTCTTCATGTAATGCCAGACAGAAGAATTCTCAGTGAATTCTTTCTGTGTGTGTGTATTCAACTCACGGAGTTGAACGTTCCTTTAGACAGAGTAGATTGGAAACACTCTTTTTGTGGAATTTTCAGGTGGAGGTATCAAGCGCTTTGAGGCCAATGATAGAAAAGGAAATACCTTCGTATAATAATTAGACGGAATCATTCTCAGAAACTGCTCTGCAATGTGTGCGTTCAACTCACAGTGTTTAACCTTTCTTTTCATACAGTTGTTTCGAAACACTCTTTTTGCAGAATCTGCAAGTGGATATTTGGACCTCTTTGAAGTCTTCGTTGGAAATGGGATTTCTTCATATAATGCTAGACAGAAGACTTCTCAGTAACTGCTTTTTCTGGTGTGTATTCAACTCTCAGAGTTGAACTTTCCTTTAGAAACAGCAGAGTTGAAACTCTCTTTTTGTGGAATTTGCAAGTGGAGATTTCAAAGCTTTGAGGCCAATGGTAGAAAAGGAAATATCTTCGTATGCAAACTAGACAGAATCATTCTCAGAAACTACTTTGGTACGTGTGTGTTCAACTCACAGTGTTTAACCTTTCTTTTCATAGAGCAGTTTGGAAACACTCAGTTTGTAAAGTCAGCAACTGGATATTTGGATGTATTTGAGGCCTTCGTTGGAAACGGGATTTCTTCATATAGTGCTAGACAGAAGAATTCTCAGTAACTTCTTTGGGTTGTGGGTATTCAACTCACAGAGTTGAAGCTTCCTTTAGGCGGAGCAGATTGGAAACACTTTTTGTGGAATTTTCAGGGGGAGACTTCAAGCGCTTTGAAGTGAATGGTAGAAAAGGAAATATCTTCGTATAAAAACTAGACGGAGTCATTCTCAGAAACTACTTTGTGATGTTTGCGTTCAACTCACAGAGTTTAACGTTTCTTTTCATAGAGCAGTTTGGAAACACTCTTTTTGCAGAATCTGCAAGTGGATATTTGGACCTCTTTGTGGCCTTCGTTGGAAACGGGATTTTTCATATAATGCTAGACAGAAGAATTCTCAGTAACTTCTTTTTGTGGTGTGTATTCAACTCACAGAGTTGAACCTTCCTTTAGACAGAGCAGATTTGAAACTCTCTTTTTGTGGAATTTGCAAGTGGAGATTTCAAGCGCTTTGAGGCCAACGGTAGAAAAGGAAATATCTTCGTAGAAAAAATAGACGGAATCATTCTCAGAAACTGCTTTGGGATGTGTGCATTGAACTCACAGTGTTTAACACTTCTTTTCATAGAGCACTTTGGAAACACTCAGTTTGTAATGTCTGCAGCTGGATATTTGGACCTCTTTGAGGCCTTCGTAGTAAACGGGATTTCTTCGTGTAATGATAGACAATAGAATTCTCAGTGAATTTTTTTCTGTGTGTGTGTATTCAACTCACAGGGTTGAACCTTCCTTTAGACAGTGCAGATTTGAGACACTTGTCTGTTTAATTTGCAAGGGGAGATTTCAAGCACTTTGAGGCCATTGGTGGAAAAGGAAATATCTTCGTATAAAAACTAGACAGAATCATTCTCAGGAACTACTTTGTGATATGTGCATTCAACTCACAGAGTTTAACCTTTCTTTTCATAGATGAGTTTGGAAACAGTCAGTTTGTAAATGCTGCAACTGGATATTTGGGCCTCTTTGAGGCTTTCGTTGGAAACGGGATTTCTTCACATAATGCTAGACAGAAGAATTCTCAGTAACTTCTTTTGGGATGTATGTATTCAAATCAGAGAGTTGAACCTTCCTTTAGACAGAGCGGATTGGAAACACTCTTTTTGTGGAATTTGCAAGTGGAAAATTCTAGCAGTATGAGGCCAATGGTACAAAAGGAAATATCTTCGTATAAAAACTAGACAGTATCATTCTCAGAAACTGCTTTGTGATGTGTGTATTAAACTCACAGAGTTGAACATTTCTTTGCATAGAGCAGTATGGAAAGACTTAGTTTGTGCAGTGTGCAAGTGGATATTTGGAACTCTTTGAGGCCTTGGTTGGAAACGGGATTTCTTCTTATAATTCTTGACAAAAGAATTCTCAGTAGCTTCTTTGTGTGTGTGTACTCAACTCACAGAGTTGAACCTTCCTTTAGACAGAGCAGATTGGAAACACTCTTTTTGTGGAATTTGCAAGTGGAAAATTCTAGCAGTATGAGGCCAATGGTACAAAAGGAAATATCTTCGTATAAAAACTAGACAGTATCATTCTCAGAAACTACTTTGTGAGGTGTGCGTTCAACTCACAGTGTTTACCCTTTCTTTTCATAGAGCAGTTTGGAAACACTCTGTTTGTGAAGTCTGCAAGTGGATATTTAAACGTCTTTGAGGCCTTCGTTGGAAACGGGATTTCTTCATATAAACCAGGACAGAAGAATTCTCAGAAACTTCTTGTTTGTTATGTGTGCATTCAACTCACAGAAGTTGAACCTTACTTTGGAAAGAGCAGTTTTCTAACACTCTTTTTGTAAAAGTTCCAAGTGAATACTTTGAGTGCTTTGAAGCCTACGGTAGACAACGAAATATCTTCATGTAAAAACTACAAAGAATCATTCGCAGAAACCACGTTGTGATCTCTGCATTCAACACACAGAGTTGAACCTTTCTTCCTATAGAGCAGTTATGAAACAGTCTCTTTGTAGAAATTGCAAGGGTGTATTTAGAGGGCATTGAAGCCTACGGTAGAAAAGGAAATATCTTACTATAAAATACTAGTCAGAAGCATTCTCAGCAACTGAGTTGTGATGTTTCCATTCAACTCACAGAGTTCAACATTCCTTTTAATGGAGCGGTTTTGAAACACTCTTTTTGCAGAATCTGCAAGTGGATATTTGGACCTCTTTGAGGCCTTCGTTGGAAACGGGATTTCTTCATGTAATGCCAGACAGAAGAATTCTCAGTGAATTCTTTCTGTGTGTGTGTATTCAACTCACAGAGTTGAACGTTCCTTTAGACAGAGTAGATTGGAAACACTCTTTTTGTGGAATTTTCAGGTGGAGGTATCAAGCGCTTTGAGGCCAATGATAGAAAAGGAAATACCTTCGTATAATAATTAGACGGAATCATTCTCAGAAACTGCTTTGCAATGTGTGCGTTCAACTCACAGTGTTTAACCTTTCTTTTCATACAGTTGTTTCGAAACACTCTTTTTGCAGAATCTGCAAGTGGATATTTGGACCTCTTTGAAGTCTTCGTTGGAAATGGGATTTCTTCATATAATGCTAGACAGAAGACTTCTCAGTAACTGCTTTTTCTGGTGTGTATTCAACTCTCAGAGTTGAACTTTCCTTTAGAAACAGCAGAGTTGAAACTCTCTTTTTGTGGAATTTGCAAGTGGAGATTTCAAAGCTTTGAGGCCAATGGTAGAAAAGGAAATATCCTTCGTATGCAAACTAGACAGAATCATTCTCAGAAACTACTTTGGTACGTGTGTGTTCAACTCACAGTGTTTAACCTTTCCTTTCATAGAGCAGTTTGGAAACACTCAGTTTGTAAAGTCAGCCACTGGATATTTGGATGTATTTGAGGCCTTCGTTGGAAACGGGATTTCTTCATATAATGCTAGACAGAAGAATTCTCAGTAACTTCTTTGTGTTGTGGGTATTCAACTCACAGAGTTGAAGCTTCCTTTAGGCGGAGCAGATTGGAAACACTTTTTGTGGAATTTTCAGGGGGAGACTTCAAGCGCTTTCAGGCCAACGGTAGAAAAGGAAATATCTCCGTATAAAAACTAGACGGAGTCATTCTCAGAAACTACTTTGTGATGTTTGCGTTCAACTCACAGAGTTTAACGTTTCTTTTCATAGAGCAGTTTGGAGACACTGTTTTTGCAGAATCTGCAAGTGGATATTTGGACCTCTTTGTGGCCTTCGTTGGAAACGGGATTTTTCATATAATGCTAGACAGAAGAATTCTCAGTAACTTCTTTTTGTGGTGTGTATTCAACTCACAGAGTTGAACCTTCCTTTAGACAGAGCAGATTTGAAACTCTCTTTTTGTGGAATTTGCATTGGAGATTTCAAGCACTTTGAGGCCAACGGTAGAAAAGGAAATATCTTCGTAGAAAAAATAGACGGAATCATTCTCAGAAACTGCTTTGGGATGTGTGCATTGAACTCACAGTGTTTAACACTTCTTTTCATAGAGCACTTTGGAAACACTCAGTTTGTAATGTCTGCAGCTGGATATGTGGACCTCTTTGAGGCCTTCGTAGTAAACGGGATTTCTTCGTGTAATGATAGACAATAGAATTCTCAGTGAATTTTTTTCTGTGTGTGTGTATTCAACTCACAGGGTTGAACCTTCCTTCAGACAGTGCAGATTTGAAACACTTTTCTGTGGAATTTGTAAGGGGAGATTTCAAGCACTTTGAGGCCATTGGTGGAAAAGGGAATATCTTCGTATAAAAACTAGACAGAAGCATTCTCAGGAACTACTTTGTGATATGTGCATTCAACTCACAGGTTTTAACCTTTCTTTTCATAGATGAGTTTGGAAACAGTCAGTTTGGAAATTCTGCAACTGGATATTTGGACCTCTTTGAGGCTTTCGTTGGAAACGGGATTTCTTCACATAATGCTAGACAGAAGAATTCGCAGTAACTTCTTTTGGGATGTATGTATTCAACTCAGAGAGTTGAACCTTCCTTTAGACAGAGCGCATAGGAAACACGCTTTTTGCGGAATTTTCAGGTGGAGATTCCAAGAGCCTTGAGACCAATGGTAGAAAAGGCTATCTTCGTATAAAAACTAGAGGGAATCATTCTCAGAAACTGCTTTGTGATGTGCATATTAAACTCACAGATTTGAACATTTCTTTGCATAGAGCAGTATGGAAAGACTTAGTTTGTGCAGTGTGCAAGTGGATATTTGGAACTCTTTGAGGCCTTCGTTGGAAACGGGATTTCTTCTTATAATTCTTGACAAAAGAATTCTCAGTAGCTTCTTTGTGTGTGTGTATTCAACTCACAGAGTTGAACCTTCCTTTAGACAGAGCAGATTGGAAACACTCTTTTTGTGGAATTTGCAAGTGGAGAATTCTAGCGCTTTGACGCCAATGGTAGAAAGGAAATATCTTCGTATAAAAACTAGACAGTATCATTCTCAGAAGCTACTTTGTGATGTGTGCGTTCAACTCACAGAGTTTAACCTTCCTTTTCATAGAGCAGTTTGGAAACCCTCTGTTTGTGAAGTCTGCAAGTGGATATTTAAACGTCTTTGAGGCCTTCGTTGGAAACGGGATTTTTTCATATAAACCAGGACAGAAGAATTCTCAGAAACTTCTTGATTGTTATGTGTGCATTCAACTCACAGAGTTGAACCTTACTTTGGAAAGAGCAGTTTTCTAACACTCTTTTTGTAAAAGTTCCAAGTGAATACTTTGAGTGCTTTGAAGCCTACGGTTGACAACGAAATATCTTCATGTAAAAACTACAAAGAATCATTCGCAGAAACCACGTTGTGATCTCTGCATTCAACTCACAGAGTTGAACCTTTCTTCCTATAGAGCAGTTATGAAACAGTCTCTTTGTAGAATTTGCAAGGGTGTATTTAGAGGGCATTGAAGCCTACGGTAGAAAAGGAAATATCTTACCATAAAATCTAGTCAGAAGCATTCTCAGAAACTGAGTTGTGATGTTTGCATTCAACTCACAGAGTTCAACATTCCTTTTAATGGAGCGGTTTTGAAACACTCTTTTTGCAGAATCTGCAAGTGGATATTTGGACCTCTTTGAGGCCTTCATTGGAAACGGGATTTCTTCATGTAATGCCAGACAGAAGAATTCTCAGTGAATTCTTTCTGTGTGTG
This sequence comes from Homo sapiens, assembly GCF_000001405.40. NCBI lineage: Eukaryota > Metazoa > Chordata > Mammalia > Primates > Hominidae > Homo > Homo sapiens. The sequence continues at coordinate 91,716,253 of NC_000003.12, forward strand.
TGTATTCAACTCACAGAGTTGAACGTTCCTTTAGACAGAGTAGATTGGAAACACTCTTTTTGTGGAATTTTCAGGTGGAGGTATCAAGCGCTTTGAGGCCAATGATAGAAAAGGAAATACCTTCGTATAATAATTAGACGGAATCATTCTCAGAAACTGCTTTGCAATGTGTGCGTTCAACTCACAGTGTTTAACCTTTCTTTTCATACAGTTGTTTCGAAACACTCTTTTTGCAGAATCTGCAAGTGGATATTTGGACCTCTTTGAAGTCTTCGTTGGAAATGGGATTTCTTCATATAATGCTAGACAGAAGACTTCTCAGTAACTGCTTTTTCTGGTGTGTATTCAACTCTCAGAGTTGAACTTTCCTTTAGAAACAGCAGATTTGAAACTCTCTTTTTGTGGAATTTGCAAGTGGAGATTTCAGAGCTTTGAGGCCAATGGTAGAAAAGGAAATATCTTCGTATGCAAACTAGACAGAATCATTCTCAGAAACTACTTTGGTACGTGTGTGTTCAACTCACAGTGTTTAACCTTTCTTTTCATAGAGCAGTTTGGAAACACTCAGTTTGTAAAGTCAGCAACTGGATATTTGGATGTATTTGAGGCCTTCGTTGGAAACGGGATTTCTTCATATAGTGCTAGACAGAAGAATTCTCAGTAACTTCTTTGGGTTGTGGGTATTCAACTCACAGAGTTGAAGCTTCCTTTAGGCGGAGCAGATTGGAAACACTTTTTGTGGAATTTTCAGGGGGAGACTTCAAGCGCTTTGAAGTGAATGGTAGAAAAGGAAATATCTTCGTATAAAAACTAGACGGAGTCATTCTCAGAAACTACTTTGTGATGTTTGCGTTAAACTCACAGAGTTTAACGTTTCTTTTCATAGAGCAGTTTGGAAACACTCTTTTTGCAGAATCTGCAAGTGGATATTTAGACCTCTTTGTGGCCTTCGTTGGAAACGGGATTTTTCATATAATGCTAGACAGAAGAATTCTCAGTAACTTCTTTTTGTGGTGTGTATTCAACTCACAGAGTTGAACCTTCCTTTAGACAGAGCAGATTTGAAACTCTCTTTTTGTGGAATTTGCAAGTGGAGATTTCAAGCGCTTTGAGGCCAACGGTAGAAAAGGAAATATCTTCGTAGAAAAAATAGACGGAATCATTCTCAGAAACTGCTTTGGGATGTGTGCATTGAACTCACAGTGTTTAACACTTCTTTTCATAGAGCACTTTGGAAACAGTCAGTTTGGAATGTCTGCAGCTGGATATTTGGACCTCTTTGAGGCCTTCGTAGTAAACGGGATTTCTTCGGGTAATGATAGACAATAGAATTCTCAGTGAATTTTTTTCTGTGTGTGTGTATTCAACTCACAGGGTTGAACCTTCCTTCAGACAGTACAGATTTGAAACACTTTTCTGTGGAATTTGCAAGGGGAGATTTCAAGCACTTTGTGGCCATTGGTGGAAAAGGGAATATCTTCGTATAAAAACTAGACAGAGTCATTGTCAGGAACTACTTTGTGATATGTGCATTCAACTCACAGAGTTTAACCTTTCTTTTCATAGATGAGTTTGGAAACAGTCAGTTTGTAAATTCTGCAACTGGATATTTGGACCTCTTTGAGGCTTTCGTTGGAAACGGGATTTCTTCACATAATGCTAGACAGAAGAATTCTCAGTAACTTCTTTTGGGATGTATGTATTCAACTCAGAGAGTTGAACCTTCCTTTAGACAGAGCGGATTGGAAACACGCTTTTTGCGGAATTTTCAGGTGGAGATTCCAAGAGCCTTGAGGCCAATGGTAGAAAAGGCTATCTTCGTATAAAAACTAGAGGGAATCATTCTCAGAAACTGCTTTGTGATGTGTGCATTAAACTCACAGAGTTGAACATTTCTTTGCATAGAGCAGTTTGGAAAGACTTAGTTTGTACAGTGTGCAAGTGGATATTTGGAACTCTTTGAGGCCTTCGTTGGAAACGGGATTTCTTCTTATAATTCTTGACAAAAGAATTCTCAGTAGCTTCTTTGTGTGTGTGTATTCAACTCACAGAGTTGAACCTTCCTTTAGGCAGAGCAGATTGGAAACCCACTTTTTGTGGAATTGGCAAGTGGAGAATTCTAGCGCTTTGACGCCAATGGTAGGAAAGGAAATATCTCCGTATAAAAACTAGACAGTATCATTCTGAGAAACTACTTTGTGATGTGTGCGTTCAACTCACAGAGTTTAACCTTTCTTTTCATAGAGCAGTTTGGAAACACTCTGTTTGTGAAGTCTGCAAGAGGATATTTAAACGTCTTTGAGGCCTTCGTTGGAAACGGGATTTTTTCATATAAACCAGGACAGAAGAATTCTCAGAAACTTCTTGTTTGTTATGTGTGCATTCAACTCACAGAGTTGAACCTTACTTCGGAAAGAGCAGTTTTCTAACACTCTTTTTGTAAAAGTTCCAAGTGAATACTTTGAGTGCTTTGAAGCCTACGGTAGACAACGAAATATCTTCATGTAAAAACTGCAAAGAATCATTCGTCGAAACCACGTTGTGATCTCTGCATTCAACTCACAGAGTTCAACCTTTCTTCCTATAGAGCAGTTATTAAACAGTCTCTTTGTAGAATTTGCAAGGGTGTATTTAGAGGGCATTGAGGCCTACGGTAGAAAAGGAAATATCTGACCATAAAATCTAGTCAGAAGCATTCTCAGAAACTGAGTTGTGATGTTTGCATTCAACTCACAGAGTTCAACATTCCTTTTCATAGAGCGGTTTTGAAACACTCTTTTTCCAGAATCTGCAAGTGGATATTTGGACCTCTTTGAGGCCTTCGTTGGAAACGGGATTTCTTCATGTAATCCCAGACAGAAGAACTCTCAGTGAATTCTTTCTGTGTGTGTGTACTCAACTCACAGAGTTGAACGTTCCCTTAGACAGAGTAGATTGGAAACACTCTTTTTGTGGAATGTTCACGTGGAGGTATCAAGCGCTTTGAGGCCCATGATAGAAAAGGAAATACCTTCGTATAATAATTAGATGGAATCATTCTCAGAAACTGCTTTGCAATGTGTGCCTTCAACTCACAGTGTTTAACCTTTCTTTTCATACAGTTGTTTCGAAACACCCTTTTTGCGGAATCTGGAAGTGGATATTTGGACCTCTTTGAAGTCTTCGTTGGAAATGGGATTTCTTCATATAATGCTAGACAGAAGACTTCTCAGTAACTGGTTTTTCTGGTGTGTATTCAACTCTCAGAGTTGAACTTTCCTTTAGAAACAGCAGATATGAAACTCTCTTTTTGTGGAATTTGCAAGTGGAGATTTCAAAGCATTGAGGCCAATGGTAGAAAAGGAAATATCTTCGTATGCCAACTAGACAGAATCATTCTCAGAAACTACTTTGGTACGTGTGTGTTCAACTCACAGTGTTTAACCTTTCCTTTCATAGAGCAGCTTGGAAACACTCAGTTTGTAAAGTCAGCCACTGGATATTTGGATGTATTTGAGGCCTTCGTTGGAAACGGGATTTCTTCATATAATGCTAGACAGAAGAATTCTCAGTAACTTCTTTGTGTTGTGGGTATTCAACTCACAGAGTTGAAGCTTCCTTTAGGCGGAGCAGATTGGAAACACTTTTTGTGGAATTTTCAGGGGGAGACTTCAAGCGCTTTGAGGCCAACGGTAGAAAAGGAAATATCTTCGTATAAAAACTAGACGGAGTCATTCTCAGAAACTACTTTGTGATGTTTGCGTTCAACTCACAGAGTTTAACGTTTCTTTTCATAGAGCAGTTTGGAGACACTCTTTTTGCAGAATCTGCAAGTGGATATTTGGACCTCTTTGTGGCCTTCGTTGGAAACGGGATTTTTCATATAATGCTAGACAGAAGAATTCTCAGTAACTTCTTTTTGTGGTGTGTATTCAACTCACAGAGTTGAACCTTCCTTTAGACAGAGCAGATTTGAAACTCTCTTTTTGTGGAATTTGCAAGTGGAGATTTCAAGCGCTTTGAGGCCAACGGTAGAAAAGGAAATATCTTCGTAGAAAAAATAGACGGAATCATTCTCAGAAACTGCTTTGGGATGTGTGCATTGAACTCACAGTGTTTAACACTTCTTTTCATAGAGCACTTTGGAAACAGTCAGTTTGGAATGTCTGCAGCTGGATATTTGGACCTCTTTGAGGCCTTCGTAGTAAACGGGATTTCTTCGGGTAATGATAGACAATAGAATTCTCAGTGAATTTTTTTCTGTGTGTGTGTATTCAACTCACAGGGTTGAACCTTCCTTCAGACAGTACAGATTTGAAACACTTTTCTGTGGAATTTGCAAGGGGAGATTTCAAGCACTTTGTGGCCATTGGTGGAAAAGGGAATATCTTCGTATAAAAACTAGACAGAATCATTCTCAGGAACTACTTTGTGATATGTGCATTCAACTCCCAGAGTTTAACCTTTCTTTTCATAGATGAGTTTGGAAACAGTCAGTTTGTAAATTCTGCAACTGGATATTTGGACCTCTTTGAGGCTTTCGTTGGAAACGGGATTTACTTCACATAATGCTAGACAGAAGAATTCTCAGTAACTTCTTTTGGGATGTATGTATTCAAATCAGAGAGTTGAACCTTCCTTTAGACAGAGCGGATTGGAAACACTCTTTTTGTGGAATTTGCAAGTGGAAAATTCTAGCAGTATGAGGCCAATGGTACAAAAGGAAATATTCTTCGTATAAAAACTAGACAGTAATCATTCTCAGAAACTGCTTTGTGATGTGTGTATTAAACTCACAGAGTTGAACATTTCTTTGCATAGAGCAGTTTGGAAAGACTTAGTTTGTGCAGTGTGCAAGTGGATATTTGGAACTCTTTGAGGCCTTCGTTGGAAACGGGATTTCTTCTTATAATTCTTGACAAAAGAATTCTCAGTAGCTTCTTTGTGTGTGTGTATTCAACTCACAGAGTTGAACCTTCCTTTAGACAGAGCAGATTGGAAACACTCTTTTTGTGGAATTTGCAAGTGGAGAATTCTAGCGCTTTGACGCCAATGGTAGAAAGGAAATATCTTCGTATAAAAACTAGACAGTATCATTCTCAGAAACTACTTTGTGATGTGTGCGTTCAACTCACAGAGTTTAACCTTTCTTTTCATAGAGCAGTTTGGAAACCCTCTGTTTGTGAAGTCTGCAAGTGGATATTTAAACGTCTTTGAGGCCTTCGTTGGAAACGGGATTTGTTCCTATAAACCAGGACAGAAGAATTCTCAGAAACTTCTTGATTGTTATGTGTGCATTCAACTCACAGAGTTGAACCTTACTTTGGAAAGAGCAGTTTTCTAACACTCTTTTTGTAAAAGTTCCAAGTGAATACTTTGAGTGCTTTGAAGCCTACGGTTGACAACGAAATATCTTCATGTAAAAACTACAAAGAATCATTCGCAGAAACCACGTTGTGATCTCTGCATTCAACTCACAGAGTTGAACCTTTCTTCCTATAGAGCAGTTATGAAACAGTCTCTTTGTAGAATTTGCAAGGGTGTATTTAGAGGGCATTGAAGCCTACGGTAGAAAAGGAAATATCTTACCATAAAATCTAGTCAGAAGCATTCTCAGAAACTGAGTTGTGATGTTTGCATTCAACTCACAGAGTTCAACATTCCTTTTAATGGAGCGGTTTTGAAACACTCTTTTTGCAGAATCTGCAAGTGGATATTTGGACCTCTTTGAGGCCTTCGTTGGAAACGGGATTTCTTCATGTAATGCCAGACAGAAGAATTCTCAGTGAATTCTTTCTGTGTGTGTGTATTCAACTCACAGAGTTGAACGTTCCTTTAGACAGAGTAGATTGGAAACACTCTTTTTGTGGAATTTTCAGGTGGAGGTATCAAGCGCTTTGAGGCCAATGATAGAAAAGGAAATACCTTCGGTATAATAATTAGACGGAATCATTCTCAGAAACTGCTTTGCAATGTGTGCGTTCAACTCACAGTGTTTAACCTTTCTTTTCATACAGTTGTTTCGAAACACTCTTTTTGCAGAATCTGCAAGTGGATATTTGGACCTCTTTGAAGTCTTCGTTGGAAATGGGATTTCTTCATATAATGCTAGACAGAAGACTTCTCAGTAACTGCTTTTTCTGGTGTGTATTCAACTCTCAGAGTTGAACTTTCCTTTAGAAACAGCAGAGTTGAAACTCTCTTTTTGTGGAATTTGCAAGTGGAGATTTCAAAGCTTTGAGGCCAATGGTAGAAAAGGAAATA